>NC_000010.11:40236000-40493345 GCF_000001405.40 Homo sapiens | reverse complement strand
TCTGTCTAGCAGTAAATGAGAAATCCCGATTCCAACGAAGGCCTCAAAGGGGTCTAACTAGTCACTTGCAGACTTTACAGACAGAGTCTTTCCAAACTGCTCTATGAAGAGAAAGGTGAAACTCTGTGAACTGAACGCACAGATGACAAAGCAGTTTCTGAGAATGATTCTGTGTAGTTTTTACACGAAGATATTTCCATTTCAAAGATTAGCCTCAAATCGCTTGAAATCTCCACTTGCAAATTCCACAGAAAGAATTTTTCAAAACTGCTCTGTCTAAAGGAAGGTTCAACTCTGTGACTTGAATACACACAACACAAAGAAGTGACTGAGAATTCTTCTGTCTAGCATTATATGAAGAAATCCCGTTTCCAACGAAGGCCTCAATGAAGTCCAAAAAAGCACTTGCAGGATTTACAAACAGAGTGTTTCCAAACTGCTCTATGAAAAGAAAGGTTAAACTCTGTGAGTTGAACGCACACATCACAAAGTAGTTGTTGAGAATGATTCTGTGTAGTTTGTATACGAAGATATTTCCTTTTCTGCCATAGGCCTAGAAGCGCTTGAAATCTGCACTTGCAAATTCCAAAAACAGAGTGTTTCAAATCTGCTCTCTCTAAAGGAAGGTTCAAATCTGTGAGTTGAATACAAACAACACAAAGAAGTTACTGAGAATTCTTCTGTCTAGCGTTATATGAAGAAATCCCGTTTCCAACGAAGGCCTCAAAGAGGTCAAATATCCACTTGCAGACTTAACAAATAGAGTGTTTCCAAACTGCTCTATGAAAAGAAAGGTTAAACTCCGTGAGTTGAAGGCACACATCACAAACTAGTTTCTGCGAATGACTCTGTGTACTTTTAATACGAAGATGTTTCCATGTCTAAGATTGGCGTGAATTCGCTTGAAATCTCCACTTGCAAATTCCACAAAAAGAGTGTTTCAAAACTGCTCTGAATAAAGGAAGGTTCCACTCTGTGAGTTGAATACACACAACACAAAGGATTTACTGAGAATTCTTCTGTCTAGCAGTAAATGAAAAAATCCCGCTTCCAACGAAGTCCTCAAAGGGGTCCAAGTAATCACTTGCAGACTTTACAGACAGAGTCTTTCCAAACTGCTCTATGAAAAGAAAGGTGGAACTCTGTGAGCTGAACGCACACATAACAAAGCAGTTTCTGAGAATGATTCTGTGTAGTTTTTACACGAAGATATTTCCATTTCAAAGATTAGCCTCAAATCGCTTGAAATCTCCACTTGCAAATTCCACAGAAAGAGTTTTTCAAAACTGCTCTGTGTAAAGGAAGGTTCAACTCTGTGACTTGAATACACACAACACAAAGAAGTGACTGAGAATTCTTCTGTCTAGCATTATATGAAGAAATCCCGTTTCCAACGAAGGCCTCAAAGAAGTCCAAATAAGCACCTGCAGACTTTACAAACAGAGTGTTTCCAAACTGCTCTATGAAAAGAAAGGTTAAACTCTGTGAGTTGAACGCACACATCACAAAGTAGTTGTTGAGAATGATTCTGTGTAGTTTTTATACGAAGATATTTCCTTTTCTGCCATAGGCCTAGAAGCGCTTGTAATCTGCACTTGCAAATTCCAAAACCAGAGTGTTTCAAATCTGCTCTCTCTAAAGGAAGGTTCAAATCTGTGAGTTGAATACAAACAACACAAAGAAGTTACTGAGAATTCTTCTGTCTAGCATTATATGAGGAAATCCCGTTTCCAACGAAGGGCTCATAGTAGGGACAATTATCCAGCTGCAGACTTACAAAGAGTGTATTTCCAAACTGCTCGATTAAAGAAAGGTTAAACTCTGTGAGTTGAACACACACATCACAAAGTGTTTTCTGAGAATGATTCTGTGTACTTTTAATATGAAGATATTTCCATGTCTAAGATAGGCGTCAAATCGCTTGAAATCTCCACTTGCAAATTCCACAAAAAGTGTTTTTCAAAACTGCTCTGAATAAAGGAAGGTTCCACTCTGTAAGTTGAATACACACAACACAAAGGATTTACTGAGAATTCTTCTGTCTAGCAGTAAATGAGAAATCCCGCTTCCAACGAAGGCCTCAAAGGGGTCTAACTAATCACTTGCAGACTTTACAGACAGAGTCTTTCCAAACTGCTCTATGAAGAGAAAGGTGAAACTCTGTGAACTGAACGCACAGATAACAAAGCAGTTTCTGAGAATGATTCTGTGCAGTTTTTACACGAAGATATTTCCATTTCAAAGATTAGCCTCAAATCGCTTGAAATCTCCACTTGCAAATTACACAGAAAGAATTTTTCAAAACTGCTCTGTCTAAAGGAAGGTTCAACTCTGTGACTTGAATACACACAACACAAAGAAGTGACTGAGAATTCTTCTGTCTAGCATTATATGAAGAAATCCCGTTTCCAACGAAGGCCTCAATGAAGTCCAAAAAAGCACTTGCAGGCTTTACAAACAGAGTGTTTCCAAACTGCTCTATGAAAAGAAAGGTTAAACTCTGTGAGTTGAACGCACACATCACAAAGTAGTTGTTGAGAATGATTCTGTGTAGTTTTTATACGAATATATTTCCTTTTCTGCCATAGGCCTAGAAGCGCTTGAAATCTGCACTTGCAAATTCCAAAAACAGAGTGTTTCAAATCTGCTCTCTCTAAAGGAAGGTTCAAATCTGTGAGTTGAATACAAACAACACAAAGAAGTTACTGAGAATTCTTCTGTCTAGCATTATATGAGGAAATCCCGTTTCCAACGAAGAGCTCAAAGAGGGCCAATTATCCACCTGCAGACTTACAAAGAGTGTATTTCCAAACTGCTCGATTAAAGAAAGGTTAAACTCTGTGAGTTGAACACACACATCACAAAGTGTTTTCTGAGATTGATTTTGTCTAGTTTTAATACGAAGATATATCCTTTTCTATCACTGTCTTCGAAGCGTTTGAAATCTGCACTAGCAAATTCCACAAAAAGAGTGTGTCAACTCTGCTCTCTCTCAGGAAAGGTTCAACTCTGTGAGCTGAATACACACAACACAAAGAAGTTACTGAGAATTCTTCTGTCAAGCGTTATATGAAGAAATCCCGTTTCCAACGAAGGCCTCAAAGAGGTCCAAATATCCACTTGCAGACTTTACAAATAGAGTTTTTCCGAACTGCTCTATGAAAAGAAAGGTTAAACTCTGTGAGTTGAAGGCACACATCACAAACTAGTTTCTACGAATGACTCTGTGTACTTTTAATATGAAGATATTTCCATGTCTAAGATTGGCGTCAAATCGCTTGAAATCTCCACTTGCAAATTCCACAAAAAGAGTGTTTCAAAACTGCTCTGAATAAAGGAAGGTTCCACTCTGTGAGTTGAATACACACAACACAAAGGATTTACTGAGAATTCTTCTGTCTAGCAGTAAATGAGAAATCCCGCTTCCAACGAAGGCCTCAAAGGGTTCTAACTAATCACTTGCAGACTTTACAGACAGAGTCTTTCCAAACTGCTCTATGAAGAGAAAGGTGAAACTCTGTGAACTGAACGCACAGATGACAAAGCAGTTTCTGAGAATGATTCTGTGTAGTTTTTACACGAAGATATTTCCATTTCAAAGATTAGCCTCAAATCGCTTGAAATCTCCACTTGCAAATTCCACAGAAAGAATTTTTCAAAACTGCCCTGTCTAAAAGAAGGTTCAACTCTGTGACTTGAATACACACAACACAAAGAAGTGACTGAGAATTCTTCTGTCTAGCATTATAGGAGGAAATCCCGTTTCCAAAGAAGGGCTCAAAGAGGGCCAAATATCCACCTGCAGACTTACAAAGAGTGTATTTCCAAACTGCTCGATTAAAGAAAGGTTAAACTCTGTGAGTTGAACACACACATCACAAAGAGTTTTCTGAGAATGATTTTGTCTACTTTTAATACGAAGATATCTCCTTTTCTATCACTGACTTCGAAGCGTTTGAAATCTACACTGGCAAATTCCACAAAAAGACTGTTTCACCTCTGCTCCCTCTAAAGAAAGGTTCAACTCTGTGAGTTGAATACACACAACACAAAGAAGTTACTGAGAATTCTTCTGTCTAGCGTTATATGAAGAAATCCCGTTTCCAACGAAGGCCTCAAAGAGGTCCAAATATCCACTTGCAGACTTTACAAATAGAGTGTTTCCCAACTGCTCTATGAAAAGAAAGGTTAAACTCTGTGAGTTGAAGGCACACATCACAAACTAGTTTCTACGAATGACTCTGTGTACTTTTAATATGAAGATATTTCCATGTCTAAGATTGGCGTCAAATCGCTTGAAATCTCCACTTGCAAATTCCACAAAAAGAGTGTTTCAAAACTGCTCTGAATAAAGGAAGGTTCCACTCTGTGAGTTGAATACACACAACACAAAGGATTTACTGAGAATTCTTCTGTCTAGCAGTAAATGAGAAATCCCGCTTCCAACGAAGGCCTCAAAGGGGTCTAACTAATCACTTGCAGACTTTACAGACAGAGTCTTTCCAAACTGCTCTATGAAGAGAAAGGTGAAACTCTGTGAACTGAACGCACAGATGACAAAGCAGTTTCTGAGAATGATTCTGTGTAGTTTTTACACGAAGATATTTCCATTTCAAAGATTAGCCTCAAATCGCTTGAAATCTCCACTTGCAAACTCCACAGAAAGAATTTTTCAAAACTGCTCTGTCTAAAGGAAGGTTCAACTCTGTGACTTGAATACACACAACACAAAGAAGTGACTGAGAATTCTTCTGTCTAGCATTATAAGAGGAAATCCCGTTTCCAACGAAGGGCTCCTAGAGGGACAATTATCCAGCTGCAGACTTACAAAGAGTGTATTTCCAAACTGCTCGATTAAAGAAAGGTTAAACTCTGTGAGTTGAACACACACATCACAAAGTGTTTTCTGAGAATGATTTTGTCTAGTTTTAATACGAAGATATATCCTTTTCTATCACTGTCTTCGAAGCGTTTGAAATCTGCACTAGCAAATTCCACAGAAAGAGTGTTTCAACTCTGCTCTCTCTCAAGAAAGGTTCAACTCTGTGAGTGGAATACACACAACACAAAGAAGTTACTGAGAATTCTTCTGTCTAGCGTTATATGAAGAAATCCCGTTTCCAACGAAGGCCTCAAAGAGGTCCAAATATCCACTTGCAGACTTTACAAAGAGAGTGTTTCCAAACTGCTCTATGAAAAGAAAGGTTAAACTCCGTGAGTTGAAGGCACACATCACAAACTAGTTTCTGCGAATGACTCTGTGTACTTTTAATACGAAGATGTTTCCACGTCTAAGATTGGCGTGAATTCGCTTGAAATCTCCACTTGCAATTTCCACAAAAAGAGTGTTTCAAAACTGCTCTGAATAAAGCAAGGTTCCACTCTGTGAGTTGAATACACACAACACAAAGGATTTACTGAGAATTCTTCTGTCTAGCAGTAAATGAAAAAATCCCGCTTCCAACGAAGTCCTCAAAGGGGTCCAAGTAATCACTTGCAGAATTTACAGACAGAGTCTTTCCAAACTGCTCTATGAAAAGAAAGGTGGAACTCTGTGAGCTGAACGCACACATAACAAAGCAGTTTCTGACAATGATTCTGTGTAGTTTTTACACGAAGCTATTTCCATTTCAAAGATTAGCCTCAAATCGCTTGAAATCTCCACTTGCAAATTCCACAGAAAGAGTTTATCAAAACTGCTCTGTGTAAAGGAAGGTTCAACTCTGTGACTTGAATACACACAACACAAAGAAGTGACTGAGAATTCTTCTGTCTAGCATTATATGAAGAAATCCCGTTTCCAACGAAGGCCTCAAAGAAGTCCAAATAAGCACCTGCAGACTTTACAAACAGAGTGTTTCCAAACTGCTCTATGAAAAGAAAGGTTAAACTCTGTGAGTTGAACGCACACATCACAAAGTAGTTGTTGAGAATGATTCTGTGTAGTTTTTATACGAAGATATTTCCTTTTCTGCCATAGGCCTAGAAGCGCTTGTAATCTGCACTTGCAAATTCCAAAAACAGAGTGTTTCAAATCTGCTCTCTCTAAAGGAAGGTTCAAATCTGTGAGTTGAATACAAACAACACAAAGAAGTTACTGAGAATTCTTCTGTCTAGCATTATATGAGGAAATCCCGTTTCCAACGAAGGGCTCAAAGAGGGCCAAATATCCACCAGCAGACTTACAAAGAGTGTATTTCCAAACTGCTCGATTAAAGAAAGGTTAAACTCTGTGAGTTGAACACACACATCACAAAGAGTTTTCTGAGAATGATTTTGTCTACTTTTAATACGAAGATATATCCTTTTCTATCACTGTCTTCGAAGCGTTTGAAATCTACACTAGCAAATTCCACAAAAAGAGTGTTTCACCTCTGCTCCCTCTAAAGAAAGGTTCAACTCTGTGAGTTGAATACACACAACACAAAGAAGTTACTGAGAATTCTTCTGTCTAGCGTTATATGAAGAAATCCCGTTTCCAACGAAGGCCTCAAAGAGGTCCAAATATCCACTTGCAGACTTTACAAATAGAGTGTTTCCCAACTGCTCTATGAAAAGAAAGGTTAAACTCTGTGAGTTGAAGGCACACATCACAAACTAGTTTCTACGAATGACTCTGTGTACTTTTAATATGAAGATATTTCCATGTCTAAGATTGGCGTCAAATCGCTTGAAATCTCCACTTGCAAATTCCACAAAAAGAGTGTTTCAAAACTGCTCTGAATAAAGGAAGGTTCCACTCTGTGAGTTGAATACACACAACACAAAGGATTTACTGAGAATTCTTCTGTCTAGCAGTAAATGAGAAATCCCGCTTCCAACGAAGGCCTCAAAGGGGTCTAACTAATCACTTGCAGACTTTACAGACAGAGTCTTTCCAAACTGCTCTATGAAGAGAAAGGTGAAACTCTGTGAACTGAACGCACAGATGACAAAGCAGTTTCTGAGAATGATTCTGTGTAGTTTTTACACGAAGATATTTCCATTTCAAAGATTAGCCTCAAATCGCTTGAAATCTCCACTTGCAAATTACACAGAAAGAATTTTTCAAAACTGCTCTGTCTAAAGGAAGGTTCAACTCTGTGACTTGAATACACACAACACAAAGAAGTGACTGAGAATTCTTCTGTCTAGCATTACATGAAGAAATCCCGTTTCCAACGAAGGCCTCAATGAAGTCCAAAAAAGCACTTGCAGGCTTTACAAACAGAGTGTTTCCAAACTGCTCTATGAAAAGAAAGGTTAAACTCTGTGAGTTGAACGCACACATCACAAAGTCGTTGTTGAGAATGATTCTGTGTAGTTTTTATACGAAGATATTTCCTTTTCTGCCATAGGCCTAGAAGCGCTTGAAATCTGCAGTTGCAAATTCCAAAAACAGAGTGTTTCAACTCTGCTCTCTCTAAAGAAAGGTTCAACTCTGTGAGTTGAATACACACAACACAAAGAAGTTACTGAGAATTCTTCTGTCTAGCGTTGTATGAAGAAATCCCGTTTCCAACGAAGGCCTCAAAGAGGTCCAAATATCCACTTGCAGACTTTACAAATAGAGTGTTTCCAAACTGCTCTATGAAAAGAAAGGTTAAACTCTGTGAGTTGAAGGCACACATCACAAACTAGTTTCTACGAATGACTCTGTGTACTTTTAATATGAAGATATTTCCATGTCTAAGATTGGCGTCAAATCGCTTGAAATCTCCACTTGCAAATTCCACAAAAAGTGTTTTTCAAAACTGCTCTGAATAAAGGAAGGTTCCACTCTGTGAGTTGAATACACACAACACAAAGGATTTACTGAGAATTCTTCTGTCTAGCAGTAAATGAGAAATCCCGCTTCCAACGAAGGCCTCAAAGGGGTCTAACTAATCACTTGCAGACTTTACAGACAGAGTCTTTCCAAACTGCTCTATGAAGAGAAAGGTGAAACTCTGTGAACTGAACGCACAGATAACAAAGCAGTTTCTGAGAATGATTCTGTGTAGTTTTTACACGAAGATATTTCCATTTCAAAGATTAGCCTCAAATCTCTTAAAATCTCCAATTGCAAATTCCACAGAAAGAATTTTTCAAAACTGCTCTGTCTAAAAGAAGGTTCAACTCTGTGACTTGAATACACACAACACAAAGAAGTGACTGAGAATTCTTCTGTCTAGCATTATATGAAGAAATCCCGTTTCCAACGAAGGCCTCAATGAAGTCCAAAAAAGCACTTGCAGGCTTTACAAACAGAGTGTTTCCAAACTGCTCTATGAAAAGAAAGGTTAAACTCTGGGAGTTGAACGCACACATCACAAAGTAGTTGTTGAGAATGATTCTGTGTAGTTTTTCTACGAAGCATATTTCCTTTTCTGCCATAGGCCTAGAAGCGCTTGAGATCTGCACTTGCAAATTCCAAAAACAGAGTGTTTCAAATCTGCTCTCTCTAAAGGAAGGTTCAAATCTGTGAGTTGAATACAAACAACACAAAGAAGTTACTGAGAATTCTTCTGTCTAGCATTATATGAGGAAATCCCGTTTCCAACGAAGGGCTCAAAGAGGGCCAATTATCCACCTGCAGACTTACAAAGAGTGTATTTCCAAACTGCTCGATTAAAGAAAGGTTAAACTCTGTGAGTTGAACACACACATCACAAAGTGTTTTCTGAGAATGATTTTGTCTAGTTTTAATACGAAGGTATATCCTTTGCTATCACTGTCTTCGAAGCGTTTGAAATCTGCACTAGCAAATTCCACAAAAAGAGTGTTTCAACTCTGCTCTCTCTAAAGAAAAGTTGAACTCTGTGAGTTGAATACACACAACACAAGAAGTTACTGAAAATTCTTCTGTCTAGCGTTATATGAAGAAATCCCTTTTCCAACGATGGCCTCAAAGAGGTCCAAATATCCACTTGCAGACTTTACAAATAGAGTGTTTCCGAACTGCTCTATGAAAAGAAAGGTTAAACTCTGTGAGTTGAAGGCACACATCACAAACTAGTTTCTACGAATGATTCTGTGTACTTTTAATATGAAGATATTTCCATGTCTAAGATTGGCATCAAATCGCTTGAAATCTCCACTTGCAAATTCCACAAAAAGAGTGTTTCAAAACTGCTCTGAATAAAGGAAGGTTCCACTCTGTGAGTTGAATAAACGCAACACAAATGATTTACTGAGAATTCTTCTGTCTAGCATTATATGAAGAAATCCCGTTTCCAACGAAGGCCTCAATGAAGTCCAAAAAAGCACTTGCAGGCTTTACAAACAGCGTGTTTCCAAACTGCTCTATGAAAAGAAAGGTTAAACTTTGTGAGTTGAACGCACACATCACAAAGTAGTTGTTGAGAATGATTCTGTGTAGTTTTCATACGAAGATATTTCCTTTCCTGCCATAGGCCTAGAATCGCTTGAAATCTGCACTTGCAAATTCCAAAAACAGAGTGTTTCAACTCTGCTCTCTCTAAAGAAAAGTTCAACTCTGTGAGTTGAATACACACAACACAAAGAAGTTACTGAGAATTCTTCTGTCTAGTGTTGTATGAAGAAATCCCATTTCCAACGAAGGCCTCAAAGAGGTCCAAATATCCACTTGCAGACTTTACAAATAGAGTGTTTCCCAACTGCTCTATGAAAAGAAAGGTTAAACTCTGTGAGTTGAAGGCACACATCACAAACTAGTTTCTACGAATGACTCTGTGTACTTTTAATATGAAGATATTTCCATGTCTAAGATTGGCATCAAATCGCTTGAAATCTCCACTTGCAAATTCCACAAAAAGTGTTTTTCAAAACTGCTCTGAATAAAGGAAGGTTCCACTCTGTGAGTTGAATACACACAACACAAAGGATTTACTGAGAATTCTTCTGTCTAGCAGTAAATGAGAAATCCCGCTTCCAACGAAGGCCTCAAAGGGGTCTAACTAATCACTTGCAGACTTTACAGACAGAGTCTTTCCAAACTGCTCTATGAAGAGAAAGGTGAAACTCTGTGAACTGAACGCACAGATAACAAAGCAGTTTCTGAGAATGATTCTGTGTAGTTTTGACACGAAGATATTTCCATTTCAAAGATTAGCCTCAAATCGCTTAAAATCTCCAATTGCAAATTCCACAGAAAGAATTTTTCAAAACTGCTCTGTCTAAAAGAAGGTTCACCTCTGTGACTTGAATACACACAACACAAAGAAGTGACTGAGAATTCTTCTGTCTAGCATTATATGAAGAAATCCCGTTTCCAACGAAGGCCTCAATGAAGTCCAAAAAAGCACTTGCAGGCTTTACAAACAGAGTGTTTCCAAACTGCTCTATGAAAAGAAAGGTTAAACTCTGGGAGTTGAACGCACACATCACAAAGTAGTTGTTGAGAATGATTCTGTGTAGTTTTTATACGAAGATATTTAATTTTCTGCCATAGGCCTAGAAGCGCTTGCAATCTGCACTTGCAAATTCCAAAAACAGAGTGTTTCAAATCTGCTCTCTCCAAAGGAAGGTTCAAATCTGTGAGTTGAATACAAACAACACAAAGAAGTTACTGAGAATTCTTCTGTCTAGCATTATAAGAGGAAATCCCGTTTCCAACGAAGGGCTCATAGAGGGACAATTATCCAGCTGCAGACTTACAAAGAGTGTATTTCCAAACTGCTCGATTAAAGAAAGGTTAAACTCTGTGAGTTGAACACACACATCACAAAGTGTTTTCTGAGAATGATTTTGTCTAGTTTTAATACGAAGATATATCCTTTTCTATCACTGTCTTCGAAGCGTTTGAAATCTGCACTAGCAAATTCCACAAAAAGAGTGTTTCAACTCTGCTCTCTCTCAAGAAAGGTTCAACTCTGTGAGTGGAATACACACAACACAAAGAAGTTACTGAGAATTCTTCTGTCTAGCGTTATATGAAGAAATCCCGTTTCCAACGAAGGCCTCAAAGAGGTCCAAATATCCACTTGCAGACTTTACAAATAGAGTGTTTCCAAACTGCTCTATGAAAAGAAAGGTTAAACTCCGTGAGTTGAAGGCACACATCACAAACTAGTTTCTGCGAATGACTCTGTGTACTTTTAATACGAAGATGTTTCCATGTCTAAGATTGGCGTGAATTCGCTTGAAATCTCCACTTGCAAATTCCACAAAAAGAGTGTTTCAAAAGTGCTCTGAATAAAGGAAGGTTCCACTCTGTGAGTTGAATACACACAACACAAAGGATTTACTGAGAATTCTTCTTTCTAGCAGTAAATGAAAAAATCCCGCTTCCAACGAAGTCCTCAAAGGGGTCCAAGTAATCACTTGCAGACTTTACAGACAGAGTCTTTCCAAACTGCTCTATGAAAAGAAAGATGGAACTCTGTGAGCTGAACGCACACATAACAAAGCAGTTTCTGAGAATGATTCTGTGTAGTTTTTACACGAAGATATTTCCATTTCAAAGATTAGCCTCAAATCGCTTGAAATCTCCACTTGCAAATTCCACAGAAAGAGTTTTTCAAAACTGCTCTGTGTAAAGGAAGGTTCAACTCTGTGACTTGAATACACACAACACAAAGAAGTGACTGAGAATTCTTCTATCTAGCATTACATGAAGAAATCCCGTTTCCAACGAAGGCCTCAAAGAAGTCCAAATAAGCACCTGCAGACTTTACAAACAGAGTGTTTCCAAACTGCTCTATGAAAAGAAAGGTTAAACTCTGTGAGTTGAACGCACACATCACAAAGTAGTTGTTGAGAATGATTCTGTGTAGTTTTTATACGAAGATATTTCCTTTTCTGCCATAGGCCTAGAAGCGTTTGAAATCTGCACTTGCAAATTCCAAAAACAGAGTGTTTCAAATCTGCTCTCTCTAAAGGAAGGTTCAAATCTGTGTGTTGAATACAAACAACACAAAGAAGTTACTGAGAATTCTTCTGTCTAGCGTTATATGAAGAAATCCCGTTTCCAACGAAGGCCTCAAAGAGGTCCCAAATATCCACTTGCAGACTTTACAAATAGAGTGTTTCCAAACTGCTCTATGAAAAGAAAGGTTAAACTCTGTGAGTTGAAGGCACACATCACAAACTAGTTTCTGCGAATGACTCTGTGTACTTTTAATACGAAGATGTTTCCATGTCTAAGATTGGCGTGAATTCGCTTGAAATCTCCACTTGCAAATTCCACAAAAAGAGTGTTTCAAAACTGCTCTGAATAAAGGAAGGTTCCACTCTGTGAGTTGAATACACACAACACAAAGGATTTACTGAGAATTCTTCTGTCTAGCAGTAAATGAAAAAATCCCGCTTCCAACGAAGTCCTCAAAGGGGTCCAAGTAATCACTTGCAGACTTTACAGACAGAGTCTTTCCAAACTGCTCTATGAAAAGAAAGGTGGAACTCTGTGAGCTGAACGCACACATAACAAAGCAGTTTCTGAGAATGATTCTGTGTAGTTTTTACACGAAGATATTTCCATTTCAAAGATTAGCCTCAAATCGCTTGAAATCTCCACTTGCAAATTCCACAGAAAGAGTTTTTCAAAACTGCTCTGTGTAAAGGAAGGTTCAACTCTGTGACTTGAATACACACAACACAAAGAAGTGACTGAGAATTCTTCTGTCTAGCATTATATGAGGAAATCCCGTTTCCAACGAAGGGCTCAAAGAGGGCCAAATATCCACCTGCAGACTTACAAAGAGTGTATTTCCAAACTGCTCGATTAAAGAAAGGTTAAACTGCTGTGAGTTGAACACACACATCACAAAGAGTTTTCTGAGAATGATTTTGTCTACTTTTAATACGAAGATATATCCTTTTCTATCACTGTCTTCGAAGCGTTTGAAATCTACACTAGCAAATTCCACAAAAAGAGTGTCTCACCTCTGCTCCCTCTAAAGAAAGGTTCAACTCTGTGAGTTGAATACACACAACACAAAGAAGTTACTGAGAATTCTTCTGTCTAGCGTTATATGAAGAAATCCCGTTTCCAACGAAGGCCTCAAAGAGGTCCAAATATCCACTTGCAGACTTTACAAATAGAGTGTTTCCCAACTGCTCTATGAAAAGAAAGGTTAAACTCTGTGAGTTGAAGGCACACATCACAAACTAGTTTCTACGAATGACTCTGTGTACTTTTAATATGAAGATATTTCCATGTCTAAGATTGGCGTCAAATCGCTTGAAATCTCCACTTGCAAATTCCACAAAAAGAGTGTTTCAAAACTGCTCTGAATAAAGGAAGGTTCCACTCTGTGAGTTGAATACACACAACACAAAGGATTTACTGAGAATTCTTCTGTCTAGCATTATATGAAGAAATCCCGTTTCCAACGAAGGCCTCAATGAAGTCCAAAAAAGCACTTGCAGGCTTTACAAACAGAGTGTTTCCAAACTTCTCTATGAAAAGAAAGGTTAAACTTTGTGAGTTGAACGCACACATCACAAAGTACTTGTTGAGAATGATTTCTGTGTAGTTTTTACACGAAGATATTTCCATTTCAAAGATTAGCCTCAAATCGCTTGAAATCTCCACTTGCAAACTCCACAGAAAGAATTTTTCAAAACTGCTCTGTCTAAAGGAAGGTTCAACTCTGTGACTTGAATACACACAACACAAAGAAGTGACTGAGAATTCTTCTGTCTAGCATTATATGAAGAAATCCCGTTTCCAACGAAGGCCTCAATGAAGTCCAAAAAAGCACTTGCAGGCTTTACAAACAGAGTGTTTCCAAACTGCTCTATGAAAAGAAAGGTTAAACTCTGTGAGTTGAACGCACACATCACAAAGTAGTTGTTGAGAATGATTTTGTCTAGTTTTAATACGAAGATATATCCTTTTCTATCACTGTCTTTGAAGCGTTTGAAATCTGCACTAGCAAATTCCACAAACAGAGTGTTTCAACTCTGCTCTCTCTCAAGAAAGGTTCAACTCTGTGAGTGGAATACACACAACACAAAGAAGTTACTGAGAATTCTTCTGTCTAGCGTTATATGAAGAAATCCCTTTTCCAACGAAGGCCTCAAAGAGGTCCAAATATCCACTTGCAGACTTTACAAATAGAGTGTTTCCGAACTGCTCTATGAATAGAAAGGTTAAACTCTGTGAGTTGAAGGCACACATCACAAACTAGTTTCTACGAATGATTCTGTGTACTTTTAATATGAAGATATTTCCATGTCTAAGATTGGCATCAAATCGCTTGAAATCTCCACTTGCAAATTCCACAAAAAGAGTGTTTCAAAACTGCTCTGAATAAAAGAAGTTTCCACTCTGTGAGTTGAATAAACACAACACAAAGGATTTACTGAGAATTCTTCTGTCTAGCATTATATGAAGAAATCCCGTTTCCAACGAAGGCCTCAATGAAGTCCAAAAAAGCACTTGCAGGCTTTACAAACAGAGTGTTTCCAAACTTCTCTATGAAAAGAAAGGTTAAACTTTGTGAGTTGAACGCACACATCACAAAGTAGTTGTTGAGAATGATTCTGTGTAGTTTTTATACGAAGATATTTCCTTTTCTGCCATAGGCCTAGAATCGCTTGAAATCTACACTTGCAAATTCCAAAAACAGAGTGTTTCAACTCTGCTCTCTCTAAAGAAAGGTTCAACTCTGTGAGTTGAATACACACAACACAAAGAAGTTACTGAGAATTCTTCTGTCTAGCGTTGTATGAAGAAATCCCGTTTCCAACGAAGGCCTCAAAGAGGTCCAAATATCCACTTGCAGACTTTACAAATAGTGTTTCCAAACTGCTCTATGAAAAGAAAGGTTAAACTCTGTGAGTTGAAGGCACACATCACAAACTAGTTTCTACGAATGACTCTGTGTACTTTTAATATGAAGATATTTCCATGTCTAAGATTGGCGTCAAATCGCTTGAAATCTCCACTTGCAAATTCCACAAAAAGTGTTTTTCAAAACTGCTCTGAATAAAGGAAGGTTCCACTCTGTGAGTTGAATACACACAACACAAAGGATTTACTGAGAATTCTTCTGTCTAGCAGTAAATGAGAAATCCCGCTTCCAACGAAGGCCTCAAAGGGGTCTAACTAATCACCTGCAGACTTTACAGACAGAGTCTTTCCAAACTGCTCTATGAAGAGAAAGGTGAAACTCTGTGAACTGAACGCACAGATGACAAAGCAGTTTCTGAGAATGATTCTGTGTAGTTTTTACACGAAGATATTTCCATTTCAAAGATTAGCCTCAAATCGCTTGAAATCTCCACTTGCAAACTCCACAGAAAGAATTTTTCAAAACTGCTCTGTCTAAAGGAAGGTTCAACTCTGTGACTTGAATACACACAACACAAAGAAGTGACTGAGAATTCTTCTGTCTAGCATTATATGAAGAAATCCCGTTTCCAACGAAGGCCTCAATGAAGTCCAAAAAAGCACTTGCAGGCTTTACAAACAGAGTGTTTCCAAACTGCTCTATGAAAAGAAAGGTTAAACTCTGTGAGTTGAACGCACACATCACAAAGTAGTTGTTGAGAATGATTTTGTCTAGTTTTAATATGAAGATATATCCTTTTCTATCACTGTCTTCGAAGCGTTTGAAATCTGCACTAGCAAATTAAACAAAAAGAGTGTTTCAACTCTGCTCTCTCTAAAGAAAAGTTCAACTCTGTGAGTTGAATACACACAACACAAAGAAGTTACTGAAAATTCTTCTGTCTAGCGTTATATGAAGAAATCCCGTTTCCAACGAAGGCCTCAAAGAGGTCCAAATATCCACTTGCAGACTTTACAAATAGAGTGTTTCCGAACTGCTCTATGAAAAGAAAGGTTAAACTCTGTGAGTTGAAGGCACACATCACAAACTAGTTTCTACGAATGATTCTGTGTACTTTTAATATGAAGATATTTCCATGTCTAAGATTGACGTCAAATCGCTTGAAATCTCCACTTGCAAATTCCACAAAAAGAGTGTTTCAAAACTGCTCTGAATAAAGGAAGGTTCCACTCTGTGAGTTGTATAAACACAACACAAAGGATTTACTGAGAATTCTTCTGTCTAGCATTGTATGAAGAAATCCCGTTTCCAACGAAGGCCTCAATGAAGTCCAAAAAAGCACTTGCAGGCTTTACAAACAGAGTGTTTCCAAACTGCTCTATGAAAAGAAAGGTTAAACTTTGTGAGTTGTACGCACACATCACAAAGTAGTTGTTGAGAATGATTCTGTGTAGTTTTTATACGAAGATATTTCCTTTTCTGCCATAGGCCTAGAAGCGCTTGAAATCTGCACTTGCAAATTCCAAAAACAGAGTGTTTCAACTCTGCTCTCTCTAAAGAAAGGTTCAACTCTGTGAGTTGAATACACACAACACAAAGAAGTTACTGAGAATTCTTCTGTCTAGCGTTGTATGAAGAAATCCCGTTTCCAACGAAGGCCTCAATGAAGTCCAAAAAAGCACTTGCAGGCTTTACAAACAGAGTGTTTCCAAACTGCTCTATGAAAAGAAAGGTTAAACTCTGTGAGTTGAACACACACATCACAAAGAGTTTTCTGAGAATGATTTTGTCTACTTTTAATACGAAGATATATCCTTTTCTATCACTGTCTTCGAAGCGTTTGAAATCTACACTAGCAAATTCCACAAAAAGAGTGTTTCACCTCTGCTCCCTCTAAAGAAAGGTTCAACTCTGTGAGTTGAATACACACAACACAAAGAAGTTACTGAGAATTCTTCTGTCTAGCGTTGTATGAAGAAATCCCGTTTCCAACGAAGGCCTCAAAGAGGTCCAAATATCCACTTGCAGACTTTACAAATAGAGTGTTTCCCAACTGCTCTATGAAAAGAAAGGTTAAACTCTGTGAGTTGAAGGCACACATCACAAACTAGTTTCTACGAATGACTCTGTGTACTTTTAATATGAAGATATTTCCATGTCTAAGATTGGCGTCAAATCGCTTGAAATCTCCACTTGCAAATTCCACAAAAAGAGTGTTTCAAAACTGCTCTGAATAAAGGAAGGTTCCACTCTGTGAGTTGAATACACACAACACAAAGGATTTACTGAGAATTCTTCTGTCTAGCAGTAAATGAGAAATCCCGCTTCCAACGAAGGCCTCAAAGGGGTCTAACTAATCACTTGCAGACTTTACAGACAGAGTCTTTCCAAACTGCTCTATGAAGAGAAAGGTGAAACTCTGTGAACTGAACGCACAGATGACAAAGCAGTTTCTGAGAATGATTCTGTGTAGTTTTTACACGAAGATATTTCCATTTCAAAGATTAGCCTCAAATCGCTTGAAATCTCCACTTGCAAATTCCACAGAAAGAGTTTTTCAAAACTGCTCTGTGTAAAGGAAGGTTCAGCTCTGTGACTTGAATACACACAACACAAAGAAGTGACTGAGAATTCTTCTGTCTAGCATTATATGAAGAAATCCCGTTTCCAACGAAGGCCTCAAAGAAGTCCAAATAAGCACCTGCAGACTTTACAAACAGAGTGTTTCCAAACTGCTCTATGAAAAGAAAGGTTAAACTCTGTGAGCTGAACGCACACATCACAAAGTAGTTGTTGAGAATGATTCTGTGTAGTTTTTATACGAAGATATTTCCTTTTCTGCCATAGGCCTAGAAGCGCTTGCAATCTGCACTTGCAAATTCCAAAAACAGAGTGTTTCAAATCTGCTCTCTCCAAAGGAAGGTTCAAATCTGTGAGTTGAATACAAACAACACAAAGAAGTTACTGAGAATTCTTCTGTCTAGCATTATATGAGGAAATCCCGTTTCCAACGAAGGGCTCATAGAGGGACAATTATCCAGCTGCAGACTTACAAAGAGTGTATTTCCAAACTGCTCGATTAAAGAAAGGTTAAACTCTGTGAGTTGAACACACACATCACAAAGTGTTTTCTGAGAATGATTTTGTCTAGTTTTAATACGAAGATATATCCTTTTCTATCACTGTCTTCGAAGCGTTTGAAATCTGCACTAGCAAATTCCACAAAAAGAGTGTTTCAACTCTGCTCTCTCTCAAGAAAGGTTCAACTCTGTGAGTGGAATACACACAACACAAACAAGTTACTGAGAATTCTTCTGTCTAGCGTTATATGAAGAAATCCCGTTTCCAACGAAGGCCTCAAAGAGGTCCAAATATCCACTTGCAGACTTTACAAATAGAGTGTTTCCAAACTGCTCTATGAAAAGAAAGGTTAAACTCTGTGAGTTGAAGGCACACATCACAAACTAGTTTCTGCGAATGACTCTGTGTACTTTTAATACGAAGATGTTTCCATGTCTAAGATTGGCGTGAATTCGCTTGAAATCTCCACTTGCAAATTCCACAAAAAGAGTGTTTCAAAACTGCTCTGAATAAAGGAAGGTTCCACTCTGTGAGTTGAATACACACAACACAAAGGATTTACTGAGAATTCTTTCTGTCTAGCAGTAAATGAAAAAATCCCGCTTCCAACGAAGTCCTCAAAGGGGTCCAAGTAATCACTTGCAGACTTTACAGACAGAGTCTTTCCAAACTGCTCTATGAAAAGAAAGGTGGAACTCTGTGAGCTGAACGCACACATAACAAAGCAGTTTCTGAGAATGATTCTGTGTAGTTTTTACACGAAGCTATTTCCATTTCAAAGATTAGCCTCAAATCGCTTGAAATCTCCACTTGCAAATTCCACAGAAAGAGTTTTTCAAAACTGCTCTGTGTAAAGGAAGGTTCAACTCTGTGACTTGAATACACACAACACAAAGAAGTTACTGAGAATTCTTCTGTCTAGCGTTATATGAAGAAATCCCGTTTCCAACGAAGGCCTCAAAGAGGTCCAAATATCCACTTGCAGACTTTACAAATAGAGTGTTTCCAAACTGCTCTATGAAAAGAAAGGTTAAACTCCGTGAGTTGAAGGCACACATCACAAACTAGTTTCTGCAAATGACTCTGTGTACTTTTAATACGAAGATGTTTCCATGTCTAAGATTGGCGTGAATTCGCTTGAAATCTCCACTTGCAAATTCCACAAAAAGAGTGTTTCAAAAGTGCTCTGAATAAAGGAAGGTTCAACTCTGTGAGTTGAATACACACAACACAAAGGATTTACTGAGAATTCTTCTGTCTAGCAGTAAATGAAAAAATCCCGCTTCCAACGAAGTCCTCAAAGGGGTCCAAGTAATCACTTGCAGACTTTACAGACAGAGTCTTTCCAAACTGCTCTATGAAAAGAAAGGTGGAACTCTGTGAGCTGAACGCACACATAACAAAGCAGTTTCTGACAATGATTCTGTGTAGTTTTTACACGAAGATATTTCCATTTCAAAGATTAGCCTCAAATCGCTTGAAATCTCCACTTGCAAATTCCACAGAAAGAGTTTTTCAAAACTGCTCTGTGTAAAGGAAGGTTCAACTCTGTGACTTGAATACACACAACACAAAGAAGTGACTGAGAATTCTTCTGTCTAGCATTATATGAAGAAATCCCGTTTCCAACGAAGGCCTCAAAGAAGTCCAAATAAGCACCTGCAGACTTTACAAACAGAGTGTTTCCAAACTGCTCTATGAAAAGAAAGGTTAAACTCTGTGAGTTGAACGCACACATCACAAAGTAGTTGTTGAGAATGATTCTGTGTAGTTTTTATACGAAGATATTTCCTTTTCTGCCATAGGCCTAGAAGCGCTTGTAATCTGCACTTGCAAATTCCAAAAACAGAGTGTTTCAAATCTGCTCTCTCTAAAGGAAGGTTCAAATCTGTGAGTTGAATACAAACAACACAAAGAAGTTACTGAGAATTCTTCTGTCTAGCATTATAAGAGGAAATCCCGTTTCCAACGAAGGGCTCATAGAGGGACAATTATCCAGCTGCAGACTTACAAAGAGTGTATTTCCAAACTGCTCGATTAAAGAAAGGTTAAACTCTGTGAGTTGAACACACACATCACAAAGTGTTTTCCTGAGAATGATTCTGTGTACTTTTAATACCGAAGATGTTTCCATGTCTAAGATTGGCGTGAATTCGCTTGAAATCTCCACTTGCAAATTCCACAAAAAGAGTGTTTCAAAACTGCTCTGAATAAAGGAAGGTTCCACTCTGTGAGTTGAATACACACAACACGAAGGATTTACTGAGAATTCTTCTGTCTAGCAGTAAATGAAAAAATACCGCTTCCAACGAAGTCCTCAAAGGGGTCCAAGTAATCACTTGCAGACTTTACAGACAGAGTCTTTCCAAACTGCTCTATGAAAAGAAAGGTGGAACTCTGCGAGCTGAACGCACACATAACAAAGCAGTTTCTGAGAATGATTCTGTGTAGTTTTTACACGAAGATATTTCCATTTCAAAGATTAGCCTCAAATCGCTTGAAATCTCCACTTGCAAATTCCACAGAAAGAGTTTTTCAAAACTGCTCTGTGTAAAGGAAGGTTCAACTCTGTGACTTGAATACACACAACACAAAGAAGTGACTGAGAATTCTTCTGTCTAGCATTATATGAAGAAATCCCGTTTCCAACGAAGGCCTCAAAGAAGTCCAAATAAGCACCTGCAGACTTTACAAACAGAGTGTTTCCAAACTGCTCTATGAAAAGAAAGGTTAAACTCTGTGAGTTGAACGCACACATCACAAAGTAGTTGTTGAGAATGATTCTGTGTAGTTTTTATACGAAGATATTTCCTTTTCTGCCATAGGCCTAGAAGCGCTTGCAATCTGCACTTGCAAATTCCAAAAACAGAGTGTTTCAAATCTGCTCTCTCCAAAGGAAGGTTCAAATCTGTGAGTTGAATACAAACAACACAAAGAAGTTACTGAGAATTCTTCTGTCTAGCATTATATGAGGAAATCCCGTTTCCAACGAAGGGCTCATAGAGGGACAATTATCCACCTGCAGAATTACAAAGAGTGTATTTCCAAACTGCTCGATTAAAGAAAGGTTAAACTCTGTGAGTTGAACACACACATCACAAAGTGTTTTCTGAGAATGATTCTGTGTAGTTTTTATACGAAGATATTTCCTTTTCTGCCATAGGCCTAGAAGCGCTTGCAATCTGCACTTGCAAATTCCAAAAACAGAGTGTTTCAAATCTGCTCTCTCCAAAGGAAGGTTCAAATCTGTGAGTGGAATACAAACAACACAAAGAAGTTACTGAGAATTCTTCTGTCTAGCATTATATGAGGAAATCCCGTTTGCAACGAAGGGCTCATAGAGGGATAATTATCCAGCTGCAGACTTACAAAGAGTGTATTTCCAAACTGATCGATTAAAGAAAGGTTAAACTCTGTGAGTTGAACACACACATCACAAAGTGTTTTCTGAGAATGATTTTGTCTAGTTTTAATACGAAGATATATCCTTTTCTATCATTGTCTTCGAAGCGTTTGAAATCTGCACTGGCAAATTCCACAAACAGAGTGTTTCAACTCTGCTCTCTCTCAAGAAAGGTTCAACTCTGTGAGTGGAATACACACAACACAAAGAAGTTACTGAGAATTCTTCTGTCTAGCGTTATATGAAGAAATCCCGTTTCCAACGAAGGCCTCAAAGAGGTCCAAATATCCACTTGCAGACTTTACAAATAGAGTGTTTCCAAACTGCTCTATGAAAAGAAAGGTTAAACTCCGTGAGTTGAAGGCACACATCACAAACTAGTTTCTGCGAATGACTCTGTGTACTTTTAATACGAAGATGTTTCCATGTCTAAGATTGGCGTGAATTCGCTTGAAATCTCCACTTGCAAATTCCACAAAAAGAGTGTTTCAAAACTGCTCTGAATAAAGGAAGGTTCCACTCTGTGAGTTGAATACACACAACACAAAGGATTTACTGAGAATTCTTCTGTCTAGCAGTAAATGAAAAAATCCCGCTTCCAACGAAGTCCTCAAAGGGGTCCAAGTAATCACTTGCAGACTTTACAGACAGAGTCTTTCCAAACTGCTCTATGAAAAGAAAGGTGGAACTCTGTGAGCTGAACGCACACATAACAAAGCAGTTTCTGAGAATGATTCTGTGTAGTTTTTACACGAAGATATTTCCATTTCAAAGATTAGCCTCAAATCGCTTGAAATCTCCACTTGCAAATTCCACAGAAAGAGTTTTTCAAAACTGCTCTGTGTAAAGGAAGGTTCAACTCTGTGACTTGAATACACACAACACAAAGAAGTGACTGAGAATTCTTCTGTCTAGCATTATATGAAGAAATCCCGTTTCCAACGAAGGCCTCAAAGAAGTCCAAATAAGCACCTGCAGACTTTACAAACAGAGTGTTTCCAAACTGCTCTATGAAAAGAAAGGTTAAACTCTGTGAGTTGAACGCACACATCACAAAGTAGTTGTTGAGAATGATTCTGTGTAGTTTTTATACGAAGATATTTCCTTTTCTGCCATAGGCCTAGAAGCGCTTGCAATCTGCACTTGCAAATTCCAAAAACAGAGTGTTTCAAATCTGCTCTCTCCAAAGGAAGGTTCAAATCTGTGGGTTGAATACAAACAACACAAAGAAGTTACTGAGAATTCTTCTGTCTAGCATTATAAGAGGAAATCCCGTTTCCAACGAAGGGCTCATAGAGGGACAATTATCCAGCTGCAGACTTACAAAGAGTGTATTTCCAAACTGCTCGATTAAAGAAAGGTTAAACTCTGTGAGTTGAACACACACATCACAAAGTGTTTTCTGAGAATTATTTTGTCTAGTTTTAATACGAAGATATATCCTTTTCTATCACTGTCTTCGAAGCGTTTGAAATCTGCACTAGCAAATTCCACAAACAGAGTGTTTCAACTCTGCTCTCTCTCAAGAAAGGTTCAACTCTGTGAGTGGAATACACACAACACAAAGAAGTTACTGAGAATTCTTCTGTCTAGCGTTATATGAAGAAATCCCGTTTCCAACGAAGGCCTCAAAGAGGTCCAAATATCCACTTGCAGACTTTACAAATAGAGTGTTTCCAAACTGCTCTATGAAAAGAAAGGTTAAACTCTGTGAGTTGAAGGCACACATCACAAACTAGTTTCTGCGAATGACTCTGTGTACTTTTAATACGAAGATGTTTCCATGTCTAAGATTGGCGTGAATTCGCTTGAAATCTCCACTTGCAAATTCCACAAAAAGAGTGTTTCAAAACTGCTCTGAATAAAGGAAGGTTCCACTCTGTGAGTTGAATACACACAACACAAAGGATTTACTGAGAATTCTTCTGTCTAGCAGTAAATGAAAAAATCCCGCTTCCAACGAAGTCCTCAAAGGGGTCCAAGTAATCACTTGCAGACTTTACAGACAGAGTCTTTCCAAACTGCTCTATGAAAACAAAGGTGGAACTCTGTGAGCTGAACGCACACATAACAAAGCAGTTTCTGAGAATGATTCTGTGTAGTTTTTACACGAAGCTATTTCCATTTCAAAGATTAGCCTCAAATCGCTTGAAATCTCCACTTGCAAATTCCACAGAAAGAGTTTTTCAAAACTGCTCTGTGTAAAGGAAGGTTCAACTCTGTGACTTGAATACACACAACACAAAGAAGTGACTGAGAATTCTTCTGTCTAGCATTACATGAAGAAATCCCGTTTCCAACGAAGGCCTCAAAGAAGTCCAAATAAGCACCTGCAGACTTTACAAACAGAGTGTTTCCAAACTGCTCTATGAAAAGAAAGGTTAAACTCTGTGAGTTGAACGCACACATCACAAAGTAGTTGTTGAGAATGATTCTGTGTAGTTTTTATACGAAGATATTTCCTTTTCTGCCATAGGCCTAGAAGCGCTTGTAATCTGCACTTGCAAATTCCAAAAACAGAGTGTTTCAAATCTGCTCTCTCTAAAGGAAGGTTCAAATCTGTGAGTTGAATACAAACAACACAAAGAAGTTACTGAGAATTCTTCTGTCTAGCGTTATATGAAAAAATCCCGTTTCCAACGAAGGCCTCAAAGAGGTCCAAATATCCACTTGCAGACTTTACAAATAGAGTGTTTCCAAACTGCTCTATGAAAAGAAAGGTTAAACTCCGTGAGTTGAAGGCACACATCACAAACTAGTTTCTGCGAATGACTCTGTGTACTTTTAATACGAAGATGTTTCCATGTCTAAGATTGGCGTGAATTCACTTGAAATCTCCACTTGCAATTTCCACAAAAAGAGTGTTTCAAAACTGCTCTGAATAAAGGAAGGTTCCACTCTGTGAGTTGAATACACACAACACAAAGGATTTACTGAGAATTCTTCTGTCTAGCAGTAAATGAAAAAATACCGCTTCCAACGAAGTCCTCAAAGGGGTCCAAGTAATCACTTGCAGACTTTACAGACAGAGTCTTTCCAAACTGCTCTATGAAAAGAAAGGTGGAACTCTGCGAGCTGAACGCACACATAACAAAGCAGTTTCTGAGAATGATTTCTGTGTAGTTTTTACACGAAGCTATTTCCATTTCAAAGCATTAGCCTCAAATCGCTTGAAATCTCCACTTGCAAATTCCACAGAAAGAGTTTTTCAAAACTGCTCTGTGTAAAGGAAGGTTCAACTCTGTGACTTGAATACACACAACACAAAGAAGTGACTGAGAATTCTTCTGTCTAGCATTATATGAAGAAATCCCGTTTCCAACGAAGGCCTCAAAGAAGTCCAAATAAGCACCTGCAGACTTTACAAACAGAGTGTTTCCAAACTGCTCTATGAAAAGAAAGGTTAAACTCTGTGAGTTGAACGCACACATCACAAAGTAGTTGTTGAGAATGATTCTGTGTAGTTTTTATACGAAGATATTTCCTTTTCTGCCATAGGCCTAGAAGCGCTTGTAATCTGCACTTGCAAATTCCAAAAACAGAGTGTTTCAAATCTGCTCTCTCTAAAGGAAGGTTCAAATCTGTGAGTTGAATACAAACAACACAAAGAAGTTACTGAGAATTCTTCTGTCTAGCATTATAAGAGGAAATCCTGTTTCCAACGAAGGGCTCATAGAGGGACAATTATCCAGCTGCAGACTTACAAAGAGTGTATTTCCAAACTGCTCGATTAAAGAAAGGTTAAACTCTGTGAGTTGAACACACACATCACAAAGTGTTTTCTGAGAATGATTTTGTCTAGTTTTAATACGAAGATATATCCTTTTCTATCACTGTCTTCGAAGCGTTTGAAATCTGCACTAGCAAATTCCACAAACAGAGTGTTTCAACTCTGCTCTCTCTCAAGAAAGGTTCAACTCTGTGAGTGGAATACACACAACACAAAGATGTTACTGAGAATTCTTCTGTCTAGCGTTATATGAAGAAATCCCGTTTCCAACGAAGGCCTCAAAGAGGTCCAAATATCCACTTGCAGACTTTACAAATAGAGTGTTTCCAAACTGCTCTATGAAAAGAAAGGTTAAACTCCGTGAGTTGAAGGCACACATCACAAACTAGTTTCTGCGAATGACTCTGTGTACTTTTAATACGAAGATGTTTCCATGTCTAAGATTGGCGTAAATTCGCTTGAAATCTCCACCTGCAAATTCCACAAAAAGAATGTTTCAAAACTGCTCTGAATAGAGAAAGGTTCCACTCTGTGAGTTGAATACACACAACACAAAGGATTTACTGAGAATTCTTCTGTCTAGCAGTAAATGAGAAATCCCGCTTCCAACGAAGGCCTCAAAGGGGTCTAACTAATCACTTGCAGACTTTAAAGACAGAGTCTTTCCAAACTGCTCTATGAAGAGAAAGGTGAAACTCTGTGACCTGAACGCACAGATGACAAAGCAGTTTCTGAGAATGCTTCTGTGTAGTTTTTACACGAAGATATTTCCATTTCAAAGATTAGCCTCAAATCGCTTGAAATCTCCACTTGCAAACTCCACAGAAAGAATTTTTCAAAACTGCTCTGTCTAAAGGAAGGTTCAACTCTGTGACTTGAATACACACAACACAAAGAAGTGACTGAGAATTCTTCTGTCTAGCATTATATGAAGAAATCCCGTTTCCAACGAAGGCCTCAATGAAGTCCAAAAAAGCACTTGCAGGCTTTACAAACAGAGTGTTTCCAAACTGCTCTATGAAAAGAAAGGTTAAACTCTGTGAGTTGAACGCACACATCACAAAGTAGTTGTTGAGAATGATTCTGTGTAGTTTTTATACGAAGATATTTCCTTTTCTGCCATAGGCCTAGAAGCGCTTGAAATCTGCACTTGCAAATTCCAAAAACAGAGTGTTTCAAATCTGCTCTCTCTAAAGGAAGGTTCAAATCTGTGTGTTGAATACAAACAACACAAAGAAGTTACTGAGAATTCTTCTGTCTAGCATTATATGAGGAAATCCCGTTTCCAACGAAGGGCTCAAAGAGGGCCAAATATCCACCTGCAGACTTACAAAGAGTGTATTTCCAAACTGCTCGATTAAAGAAAGGTTAAACTCTGTGAGTTGAACACACACATCACAAAGAGTTTTCTGAGAATGATTTTGTCTACTTTTAATACGAAGATATATCCTTTTCTATCACTGTCTTCGAAGCGTTTGAAATCTGCACTAGCAAATTCCACAAAAAGAGTGTTTCACCTCTGCTCCCTCTAAAGAAAGGTTCAACTCTGTGAGTTGAATACACACAACACAAAGAAGTTACTGAGAATTCTTCTGTCTAGCGTTATATGAAGAAATCCCGTTTCCAACGAAGGCCTCAAAGAGGTCCAAATATCCACTTGCAGACTTTACAAATAGAGTGTTTCCCAACTGCTCTATGAAAAGAAAGGTTAAACTCTGTGAGTTGAAGGCACACATCACAAACTAGTTTCTACGAATGACTCTGTGTACTTTTAATATGAAGATATTTCCATGTCTAAGATTGGCGTCAAATCGCTTGAAATCTCCACTTGCAAATTCCACAAAAAGAGTGTTTCAAAACTGCTCTGAATAAAGGAAGGTTCCACTCTGTGAGTTGAATACACACAACACAAAGGATTTACTGAGAATTCTTCTGTCTAGCAGTAAATGAGAAATCCCGCTTCCAACGAAGGCCTCAAAGGGGTCTAACTAATCACTTGCAGACTTTACAGACAGAGTCTTTCCAAACTGCTCTATGAAGAGAAAGGTGAAACTCTGTGAACTGAACGCACAGATGACAAAGCAGTTTCTGAGAATGATTCTGTGTAGTTTTTACACGAAGATATTTCCATTTCAAAGATTAGCCTCAAATCACTTGAAATCTCCACTTGCAAACTCCACAGAAAGAATTTTTCAAAACTGCTCTGTCTAAAGGAAGGTTCAACTCTGTGACTTGAATACACACAACACAAAGAAGTGACTGAGAATTCTTCTGTCTAGCATTATATGAAGAAATCCCGTTTCCAACGAAGGCCTCAATGAAGTCCAAAAAAGCACTTGCAGGCTTTACAAACAGAGTGTTTCCAAACTGCTCTATGAAAAGAAAGGTTAAACTCTGTGAGTTGAACGCACACATCACAAAGTAGTTGTTGAGAATGATTCTGTGTAGTTTTTATACGAAGATATTTCCTTTTCTGCCATAGGCCTAGAATCGCTTGAAATCTCCACTTGCAAATTCCAAAAACAGAGTGTTTCAACTCTGCTCTCTCTAAAGAAAGGTTCAACTCTGTGAGTTGAATACACACAACACAAAGAAGTTACTGAGAATTCTTCTGTCTAGCATTATATGAGGAAATCCCGTTTCCAACGAAGGGCTCAAAGAGGGCCAAATATCCACCTGCAGACTTACAAAGAGTGTATTTCCAAACTGCTCGATTAAAGAAAGGTTAAACTCTGTGAGTTGAACACACACATCACAAAGAGTTTTCTGAGAATGATTTTGTCTACTTTTAATACGAAGATATATCCTTTTCTATCACTGTCTTCGAAGCGTTTGAAATCTACACTAGCAAATTCCACAAAAAGAGTGTTTCACCTCTGCTCCCTCTAAAGAAAGGTTCAACTCTGTGAGTTGAATACACACAACACAAAGAAGTTACTGAGAATTCTTCTGTCTAGCGTTATATGAAGAAATCCCGTTTCCAACGAAGGCCTCAAAGAGGTCCAAATATCCACTTGCAGACTTTACAAATAGAGTGTTTCCCAACTGCTCTATGAAAAGAAAGGTTAAACTCTGTGAGTTGAAGGCACACATCACAAACTAGTTTCTACGAATGACTCTGTGTACTTTTAATATGAAGATATTTCCATGTCTAAGATTGGCGTCAAATCGCTTGAAATCTCCACTTGCAAATTCCACAAAAAGAGTGTTTCAAAACTGCTCTGAATAAAGGAAGGTTCCACTCTGTGAGTTGAATACACACAACACAAAGGATTTACTGAGAATTCTTCTGTCTAGCAGTAAATGAAAAAATCCCGCTTCCAACGAAGTCCTCAAAGGGGTCCAAGTAATCACTTGCAGACTTCACAGACAGAGTCTTTCCAAACTGCCCTATGAAAAGAAAGGTGGAACTCTGTGAGCTGAACGCACACATAACAAAGCAGTTTCTGACAATGATTCTGTGTAGTTTTTACATGAAGATATTTCCATTTCAAAGATTAGCCTCAAATCGCTTGAAATCTCCACTTGCAAATTCCACAGAAAGAGTTTTTCAAAACTGCTCTGTGTAAAGGAAGGTTCAACTCTGCGACTTGAATACACACAACACAAAGAAGTGACTGAGAATTCTTCTGTCTAGCATTATATGAAGAAATCCCGTTTCCAACGAAGGCCTCAAAGAAGTCCAAATAAGCACCTGCAGACTTTACAAACAGAGTGTTTCCAAACTGCTCTATGAAAAGAAAGGTTAAACTCTGTGAGTTGAACGCACACATCACAAAGTAGTTGTTGAGAATGATTCTGTGTAGTTTTTATACGAAGATATTTCCTTTTCTGCCATAGGCCTAGAAGGGCTTGTAATCTGCAATTGCAAATTCCAAAAACAGAGTGTTTCAAATCTGCTCTCTCTAAAGGAAGGTTCAAATCTGTGAGTTGAATACAAACAACACAAAAAAGTTACTGAGAATTCTTCTGTCTAGCATTATAAGAGGAAATCCTGTTTCCAACGAAGGGCTCATAGAGGGACAATTATCCAGCTGCAGACTTACAAAGAGTGTATTTCCAAACTGCTCGATTAAAGAAAGGTTAAACTCTGTGAGTTGAACACACACATCACAAAGTGTTTTCTGAGAATGATTTTGTCTAGTTTTAATACGAAGATATATCCTTTTCTATCACTGTCTTCGAAGCGTTTGAAATCTGCACTAGCAAATTCCACAGAAAGAGTGTTTCGACTCTGCTCTCTCTCAAGAAAGGTTCAACTCTGTGAGTTGAATACACACAACACAAAGAAGTTACTGAGAATTCTTCTGTCTAGCGTTATATGAAGAAATCCCGTTTCCAACGAAGGCCTCAAAGAGGTCCAAATATCCACTTGCAGACTTTACAAATAGAGTGTTTCCAAACTGCTCTATGAAAAGAAAGGTTAAACTCCGTGAGTTGAAGGCACACATCACAAACTAGTTTCTGCGAATGACTCTGGGTACTTTAAATACGAAGATATTTCCACGTCTAAGATTGGTGTGAAATCTCTTCAAATGTCCACTTGCAAATTCCACAAAAAGAGTGTTTCAAAACTGCTCTGAATAAAGGAAAGTTCAACTCTGTGAGTTGAATACACACAACACAAAGGATTTACTGAGAATTCTTCTGTCTAGCAGTAAATGAAAAAATCCCGCTTCCAACGAAGTCCTCAAAGTGGTCCAAGTAATCAGTTGCAGACTTAACAGACAGAGTCTTTCCAAACTGTTCTATGAAAAGAAAGGTGGAACTCTGTGAGCTGAACGCACACATAAGAAAGCAGTTTCTGAGAATGATTCTGTGTAGTTTTTACACGAAGATATTTCCATTTCAAAGATTAGCCTCAAATCGCTTGAAATCTCCACTTGCAAATTCCACAGAAAGAGTTTTTCAAAACTGCTCTGTGTAAAGGAAGGTTCAACTCTGTGACTTGAATACACACAACACAAAGAAGTGACTGAGAATTCTTCTGTATAGCAGTATATGAAGAAATCCCGTTTCCAATTAAGGCCTCAAAGAAGTCCAAATAAGCACCTGCAGACTTTACAAACAGAGTGTTTCCAAACTGCTCTATGAAAAGAAAGGTTAAACTCTGTGAGATGAACGCAAACATCACAAAGTAGTTTTCGAGAATGATTCTGTGTAGTTTTTATACGAAGATATTTCCTTTTCTGCCATAGGCCTAGAATCGCTTGAAATCTGCAGTTACAAATTCCAAAAACAGAGTGTTTCAACTCTGCTCTCTCTAAAGAAAGGTTCAACTCTGTGAGTTGAATACACACAACACAAAGAAGTTACTGAGAATTCTTCTGTCTAGCGTTGTATGAAGAAATCCCGTTTCCAACGAAGGCCTCAAAGAGGTCCAAATATCCACTTGCAGACTTTACAAATAGAGTGTTTCCAAACTGCTCTATGAAAAGAAAGGTTAAACTCTGTGAGTTGAAGGCACACATCACAAACTAGTTTCTACGAATGACTCTGTGTACTTTTAATATGAAGATATTTCCATGTCTAAGATTGGCGTCAAATCGCTTGAAATCTCCACTTGCAAATTCCACAAAAAGTGTTTTTCAAAACTGCTCTGAATAAAGGAAGGTTCCACTCTGTGAGTTGAATACACACAACACAAAGGATTTACTGAGAATTCTTCTGTCTAGCAGTAAATGAGAAATCCCGCTTCCAACGAAGGCCTCAAAGGGGTCTAACTAATCACTTGCAGACTTTACAGACAGAGTCTTTCCAAACTGCTCTATGAAGAGAAAGGTGAAACTGTGTGAACTGAACGCACAGATGACAAAGCAGTTTCTGAGAATGATTCTGTGTAGTTTTTACACGAAGATATTTCCATTTCAAAGATTAGCCTCAAATCGCTTGAAATCTCCACTTGCAAACTCCACAGAAAGAATTTTTCAAAACTGCTCTGTCTAAAGGAAGGTTCAACTCTGTGACTTGAATACACACAACACAAAGAAGTGACTGAGAATTCTTCTGTATAGCGTTGTATGAAGAAATCCCGTTTCCAACGAAGGCCTCAATGAAGTCCAAAAAAGCACTTGCAGGCTTTACAAACAGAGTGTTTCCAAACTGCTCTATGAAAAGAAAGGTTAACCTCTGTGAGTTGAACGCACACATCACAAAGTAGTTGTTGAGAATGATTCTGTGTAGTTTTTATACGAAGATATTTCCTTTTCTGCCATAGGCCTAGAAGCGCTTGAAATCTGCACTTGCAAATTCCAAAAACAGAGTGTTTCAAATCTGCTCTCTCTAAAGGAAGGTTCAAATCTGTGTGTTGAATACAAACAACACAAAGAAGTTACTGAGAATTCTTCTGTCTAGCATTATATGAGGAAATCCCGTTTCCAACGAAGGGCTCAAAGAGGGCCAAATATCCACCTGCAGACTTACAAAGAGTGTATTTCCAAACTGCTCGATTAAAGAAAGGTTAAACTCTGTGAGTTGAACACACACATCACAAAGAGTTTTCTGAGAATGATTTTGTCTACTTTTAATACGAAGATATATCCTTTTCTATCACTGACTTCGAAGCGTTTGAAATCTACACTAGCAAATTCCACAAAAAGAGTGTTTCACCTCTGCTCCCTCTAAAGAAAGGTTCAACTCTGTGACTTGAATACACACAACACAAAGAAGTGACTGAGAATTCTTCTGTCTAGCGTTATATGAAGAAATCCCGTTTCCAACGAAGGCCTCAAAGAGGTCCAAATATCCACTTGCAGACTTTACAAATAGAGTGTTTCCCAACTGCTCTATGAAAAGAAAGGTTAAACTCTGTGAGTTGAAGGCACACATCACAAACTAGTTTCTACGAATGACTCTGTGTACTTTTAAAATGAAGATATTTCCATGTCTAAGATTGGCGTCAAATCGCTTGAAATCTCCACTTGCAAATTCCACAAAAAGTGTTTTTCAAAGCTGCTCTGAATAAAGGAAGGTTCCACTCTGTGAGTTGAATACACACAACACAAAGGATTTACTGAGAATTCTTCTGTCTAGCAGTAAATGAGAAATCCCGCTTCCAACGAAGGCCTCAAAGGGGTCTAACTAATCACTTGCAGACTTTACAGACAGAGTCTTTCCAAACTGCTCTATGAAGAGAAAGGTGAAACTCTGTGAACTGAACGCACAGATGACAAAGCAGTTTCTGAGAATGATTCTGTGTAGTTTTTACACGAAGATATTTCCATTTCAAAGATTAGCCTCAAATCGCTTGAAATCTCCACTTGCAAACTCCACAGAAAGAATTTTTCAAAACTGCTCTGTCTAAAGGAAGGTTCAACTCTGTGACTTGAATACACACAACACAAAGAAGTGACTGAGAATTCTTCTGTCTAGCATTATATGAGGAAATCCCGTTTCCAACGAAGGACTCAAAGAGGGCCAAATATCCACCTGCAGACTTACAAAGAGTGTATTTCCAAACTGCTCGATTAAAGAAAGGTTAAACTCTGTGAGTTGAACACACACATCACAAAGAGTTTTCTGAGAATGATTCTGTGTAGTTTTTATACGAAGATATTTCCTTTTCTGCCATAGGCCTAGAAGCGCTTGCAATCTGCACTTGCAAATTCCAAAAACAGAGTCTTTCAAATCTGCTCTCTCTAAAGGAAGGTTCAAATCTGTGAGTTGAATACAAACAACACAAAGAAGTTACTGAGAATTCTTCTGTCTAGCATTATAAGAGGAAATCCCGTTTCCAACGAAGGGCTCATAGAGGGACAATTATCCAGCTGCAGACTTACAAAGAGTGTATTTCCAAACTGCTCGATTAAAGAAAGGTTAAACTCTGTGAGTTGAACACACACATCACAAAGTGTTTTCTGAGAATGATTTTGTCTAGTTTTAATACGAAGATATATCCTTTTCTATCACTGTCTTCGAAGCGTTTGAAATCGGCACTAGCAAATTCCACAAACAGAGTGTTTCAACTCTGCTCTCTCTCAAGAAAGGTTCAACTCTGTGAGTGGAATACACACAACACAAAGAAGTTACTGAGAATTCTTCTGTCTAGCGTTATATGAAGAAATCCCGTTTCCAACGAAGGCCTCAAAGAGGTCCAAATATCCACTTGCAGACTTTACAAATAGAGTGTTTCCAAACTGCTCTATGAAAAGAAAGCTTAAACTCTGTGAGTTGAAGGCACACATCACAAACTAGTTTCTGCGAATGACTCTGTGTACTTTTAATACGAAGATGTTTCCATGTCTAAGATTGGCGTGAATTCGCTTGAAATCTCCACTTGCAAATTCCACAAAAAGAGTGTTTCAAAACTGCTCTGAATAAAGGAAGGTTCCACTCTGTGAGTTGAATACACACAACACAAAGGATTTACTGAGAATTCTTCTGTCTAGCAGTAAATGAAAAAATCCCGCTTCCAACGAAGTCCTCAAAGGGGTCCAAGTAATCACTTGCAGACTTTACAGACAGAGTCTTTCCAAACTGCTCTATGAAAAGAAAGGTGGAACTCTGTGAGCTGAACGCACACATAACAAAGCAGTTTCTGACAATGATTCTGTGTAGTTTTTACACGAAGATATTTCCATTTCAAAGATTAGCCTCAAATCGCTTGAAATCTCCACTTGCAAATTCCACAGAAAGAGTTTTTCAAAACTGCTCTGTGTAAAGGAAGGTTCAACTCTGTGACTTGAATACACACAACACAAAGAAGTGACTGAGAATTCTTCTGTCTAGCATTATATGAAGAAATCCCGTTTCCAACGAAGGCCTCAAAGAAGTCCAAATAAGCACCTGCAGACTTTACAAACAGAGTGTTTCCAAACTGCTCTATGAAAAGAAAGGTTAAACTACTGTGAGTTGAACGCACACATCACACAGTAGTTGTTGAGAATGATTCTGTGTAGTTTTTATACGAAGATATTTAATTTTCTGCCATAGGCCTAGAAGCGCTTGCAATCTGCACTTGCAAATTCCAAAAACAGAGTGTTTCAAATCTGCTCTCTCCAAAGGAAGGTTCAAATCTGTGAGTTGAATACAAACAACACAAAGAAGTTACTGAGAATTCTTCTGTCTAGCATTATAAGAGGAAATCCCGTTTCCAACGAAGGGCTCATAGAGGGACAATTATCCAGCTGCAGACTTACAAAGAGTGTATTTCCAAACTGCTCGATTAAAGAAAGGTTAAACTCTGTGAGTTGAACACACACATCACAAAGTGTTTTCTGAGAATGATTTTGTCTAGTTTTAATACGAAGTATATATCCTTTTCTATCACTGTCTTCGAAGCGTTTGAAATCTGCACTAGCAAATTCCACAAACAGAGTGTTTCAACTCTGCTCTCTCTCAAGAAAGGTTCAACTCTGTGAGTGGAATACACACAACACAAAGAAGTTACTGAGAATTCTTCTGTCTAGCGTTATATGAAGAAATCCCGTTTCCAACGAAGGCCTCAAAGAGGTCCAAATATCCACTTGCAGACTTTACAAATAGAGTGTTTCCAAACTGCTCTATGAAAAGAAAGGTTAAACTCCGTGAGTTGAAGGCACACATCACAAACTAGTTTCTGCGAATGACTCTGTGTACTTTTAATACGAAGATGTTTCCATGTCTAAGATTGGCGTGAATTCGCTTGAAATCTCCACTTGCAAATTCCACCAAAAGAGTGTTTCAAAACTGCTCTGAATAAAGGAAGGTTCCACTCTGTGAGTTGAATACACACAACACAAAGGATTTACTGAGAATTCTTCTGTCTAGCAGTAAATGAAAAAATCCCGCTTCCAACGAAGTCCTCAAAGGGGTCCAAGTAATCACTTGCAGACTTTACAGACAGAGTCTTTCCAAACTGCTCTATGAAAAGAAAGGTGGAACTCTGTGAGCTGAACGCACACATAACAAAGCAGTTTCTGAGAATGATTCTGTGTAGTTTTTACACGAAGCTATTTCCATTTCAAAGATTAGCCTCAAATCGCTTGAAATCTCCACTTGCAAATTCCACAGAAAGAGTTTTTCAAAACTGCTCTGTGTAAAGGAAGGTTCAACTCTGTGACTTGAATACACACAACACAAAGAAGTGACAGAGAATTCTTCTGTCTAGCATTATATGAAGAAATCCCGTATCCAACGAAGGCCTCAAAGAAGTCCAAATAAGCACCTGCAGACTTTACAAACAGAGTGTTTCCAAACTGCTCTATGAAAAGAAAGGTTAAACTCTGTGAGTTGAACGCACACATCACAAACTAGTTTCTGCGAATGACTTTGTCTAGTTTTAATACGAAGATATCCTTTTCTATCACTGTCTTCGAAGCGTTTGAAATCTGCACTAGCAAATTCCACAAACAGAGTGTTTCAACTCTGCTCTCTCTCAAGAAAGGTTCAACTCTGTGAGTTGAATACACACAACACAAAGAAGTTACTGAGAATTCTTCTGTCTAGCGTTATATGAAGAAATCCCGTTTCCAACGAAGGCCTCAAAGAGGTCCAAATATCCACTTGCAGACTTTACAAATAGAGTGTTTCCAAACTGCTCTATGAAAAGAAAGGTTAAACTCCGTGAGTTGAAGGCACACATCACAAGCTAGTTTCTGCGAATGACTCTGTGTACTTTTAATACGAAGTTGTTTCCATGTCTAAGATTGGCGTGAATTCGCTTGAAATCTCCACTTGCAAGTTCCACAAAAAGAGTGTTTCAAAACTGCTCTGAATAAAGGAAGGTTCCACTCTGTGAGTTGAATACACACAACACAAAGGATTTACTGAGAATTCTTCTGTCTAGCAGTAAATGAAAAAATCCCGCTTCCAACGAAGTCCTCAAAGGGGTCCAAGTAATCACTTGCAGACTTTACAGACAGAGTCTTTCCAAACTGCTCTATGAAAAGAAAGGTGGAACTCTGTGAGCTGAACGCACACATAACAAAGCAGTTTCTGAGAATGATTCTGTGTAGTTTTTACACGAAGATATTTCCATTTCAAAGTATTAGCCTCAAATCGCTTGAAATCTCCACTTGCAAATTCCACTGAAAGAGTTTTTCAAAACTGCTCTGTGTAAAGGAAGGTTCAACTCTGTGACTTGAATACACACAACACAAAGAAGTGACTGAGAATTCTTCTGTCTAGCATTACATGAAGAAATCCCGTTTCCAACGAAGGCCTCAAAGAAGTCCAAATAAGCACCTGCAGACTTTACAAACAGAGTGTTTCCAAACTGCTCTATGAAAAGAAAGGTTAAACTCTGTGAGTTGAACGCACACATCACAAAGTAGTTGTTGAGAATGATTTTGTCTAGTTTTAATACGAAGATATATCCTTTTCTATCACTGTCTTCGAAGCGTTTGAAATCTGCACTGGCAAATTCCACAAACAGAGTGTTTCAACTCTGCTCTCTCTCAAGAAAGGTTCAACTCTGTGAGTGGAATACACACAACACAAAGAAGTTACTGAGAATTCTTCTGTCTAGCGTTACATGAAGAAATCCCGTTTCCAACGAAGGCCTCAAAGAGGTCCAAATATCCACTTGCAGACTTTACAAATAGAGTGTTTCCAAAATGCTCTATGAAAAGAAAGGTTAAACTCTGTGAGTTGAAGGCACACATCACAAACTAGTTTCTGCGAATGACTCTGTGTACTTTTAATACGAAGATGTTTCCATGTCTAAGCATTGGCGTGAATTCGCTTGAAATCTCCACTTGCAAATTCCACAAAAAGAGTGTTTCAAAACTGCTCTGAATACAGGAAGGTTCCACTCTGTGAGTTGAATACACACAACACAAAGGATTTACTGAGAATTCTTCTGTCTAGCAGTAAATGAAAAAATCCCGCTTCCAACGAAGTCCTCAAAGGGGTCCAAGTAATCACTTGCAGACTTTACAGACAGAGTCTTTCCAAACTGCTCTATGAAAAGAAAGGTGGAACTCTGTGAGCTGAACGCACACATAACAAAGCAGTTTCTGAGAATGATTCTGTGTAGTTTTTACACGAAGATATTTCCGTTTCAAAGATTAGCCTCAAATCGCTTGAAATCTCCACTTGCAAACTCCACAGAAAGAATTTTTCAAAACTGCTCTGTCTAAAGGAAGGTTCAACTCTGTGACTTGAATACACACAACACAAAGAAGTGACTGAGAATTCTTCTGTCTAGCATTATATGAAGAAATCCCGTTTCCAACGAAGGCCTCAATGAAGTGCAAAAAAGCACTTGCAGGCTTTACAAACAGAGTGTTTCCAAACTGCTCTATGAAAAGAAAGGTTAAACTCTGTGAGTTGAACGCACACATCACAAAGTAGTTGTTGAGAATGATTCTGTGTAGTTTTTATACGAAGATATTTCCTTTTCTGCCATAGGCCTAGAATCGCTTGAAATCTGCAGTTGCAAATTCCAAAAACAGAGTGTTTCAACTCTGCTCTCTCTAAAGAAAGGTTCAACTCTGTGAGTTGAATACACACAACACAAAGAAGTTACTGAGAATTCTTCTGTCTAGCGTTGTATGAAGAAATCCCGTTTCCAACGAAGGCCTCAAAGAGGTCCAAATATCCACTTGCAGACTTTACAAATAGAGTGTTTCCAAACTGCTCTATGAAAAGAAAGGTTAAACTCTGTGAGTTGAAGGCACACATCACAAACTAGTTTCTACGAATGACTCTGTGTACTTTTAATATGAAGATATTTCCATGTCTAAGATTGGCGTCAAATCGCTTGAAATCTCCACTTGCAAATTCCACAAAAAGAGTGTTTCAAAACTGCTCTGAATAAAGGAAGGTTCCACTCTGTGAGTTGAATACACACAACACAAAGGATTTACTGAGAATTCTTCTGTCTAGCAGTAAATGAGAAATCCCACTTCCAACGAAGGCCTCAAAGGGGTCTAACTAATCACTTGCAGACTTTACAGACAGAGTCTTTCCAAACTGCTCTATGAAGAGAAAGGTGAAACTCTGTGAACTGAACGCACAGATGACAAAGCAGTTTCTGAGAATGATTCTGTGTAGTTTTTACACGAAGATATTTCCATTTCAAAGATTAGCCTCAAATCGCTTGAAATCTCCACTTGCAAATTACACAGAAAGAATTTTTCAAAACTGCTCTGTCTAAAGGAAGGTTCAACTCTGTGACTTGAATACACACAACACAAAGAAGTGACTGAGAATTCTTCTGTCTAGCATTATATGAAGAAATCCCGTTTCCAACGAAGGCCTCAATGAAGTCCAAAAAAGCACTTGCAGGCTTTACAAACAGAGTGTTTCCAAACTGCTCTATGAAAAGAAAGGTTAAACTCTGTGAGTTGAACGCACACATCACAAAGTAGTTGTTGAGAATGATTTTGTCTACTTTTAATGCGAAGATATATCCTTTTCTATCACTGTCTTCGAAGCGTTTGAAATCTACACTAGCAAATTCCACAAAAAGAGTGTTTCACCTCTGCTCCCTCTAAAGAAAGGTTCAACTCTGTGAGTTGAATACACACAACACAAAGAAGTTACTGAGAATTCTTCTGTCTAGCGTTATATGAAGAAATCCCGTTTCCAACGAAGGCCTCAAAGAGGTCCAAATATCCACTTGCAGACTTTACAAATAGAGTGTTTCCCAACTGCTCTATGAAAAGAAAGGTTAAACTCTGTGAGTTGAAGGCACACATCACAAACTAGTTTCTACGAATGACTCTGTGTACTTTTAATATGAAGATATTTCCATGTCTAAGATTGGCGTCAAATCGCTTGAAATCTCCACTTGCAAATTCCACAAAAAGAGTGTTTCAAAACTGCTCTGAATAAAGGAAGGTTCCACTCTGTGAGTTGAATACACACAACACAAAGGATTTACTGAGAATTCTTCTGTCTAGCAGTAAATGAGAAATCCCGCTTCCAACGAAGGCCTCAAAGGGGTCTAACTAATCACTTGCAGACTTTACAGACAGAGTCTTTCCAAACTGCTCTATGAAGAGAAAGGTGAAACTCTGTGAACTGAACGCACAGATGACAAAGCAGTTTCTGAGAATGATTCTGTGTAGTTTTTACACGAAGATATTTCCATTTCAAAGATTAGCCTCAAATCGCTTGAAATCTCCACTTGCAAATTACACAGAAAGAACTTTTCAAAACTGCTCTGTCTAAAGGAAGGTTCAACTCTGTGACTTGAATACACACAACACAAAGAAGTGACTGAGAATTCTTCTGTCTAGCATTATATGAAGAAATCCCGTTTCCAACGAAGGCCTCAATGAAGTCCAAAAAAGCACTTGCAGGCTTTACAAACAGAGTGTTTCCAAACTGCTCTATGAAAAGAAAGGTTAAACTCTGTGAGTTGAACGCACACATCACAAAGTAGTTGTTGAGAATGATTCTGTGTAGTTTTTATACGAAGATATTTCCTTTTCTGCCATAGGCCTAGAATCGCTTGAAATCTGCAGTTGCAAATTCCAAAAACAGAGTGTTTCAACTCTGCTCTCTCTAAAGAAAGGTTCAACTCTGTGAGTTGAATACACACAACACAAAGAAGTTACTGAGAATTCTTCTGTCTAGCGTTGTATGAAGAAATCCCGTTTCCAACGAAGGCCTCAATGAAGTCCAAAAAAGCACTTGCAGGCTTTACAAACAGAGTGTTTCCAAACTGCTCTATGAAAAGAAAGGTTAAACTCTGTGAGTTGAACACACAAATCACAAAGAGTTTTCTGAGAATGATTTTGTCTACTTTTAATACGAAGATATATCCTTTTCTATCACTGTCTTCGAAGCGTTTGAAATCTACACTAGCAAATTCCACAAAAAGAGTGTTTCACCTCTGCTCCCTCTAAAGAAAGGTTCAACTCTGTGAGTTGAATACACACAACACAAAGAAGTTACTGAGAATTCTTCTGTCTAGCGTTATATGAAGAAATCCCGTTTCCAACGAAGGCCTCAAAGAGGTCCAAATATCCACTTGCAGACTTTACAAATAGAGTGTTTCCCAACTGCTCTATGAAAAGAAAGGTTAAACTCTGTGAGTTGAAGGCACACATCACAAACTAGTTTCTACGAATGACTCTGTGTACTTTTAATATGAAGATATTTCCATGTCTAAGATTGGCGTCAAATCGCTTGAAATCTCCACTTGCAAATTCCACAAAAAGTGTTTTTCAAAACTGCTCTGAATAAAGGAAGGTTCCACTCTGTGAGTTGAATACACACAACACAAAGGATTTACTGAGAATTCTTCTGTCTAGCAGTAAATGAAAAAATACCGCTTCCAACGAAGTCCTCAAAGGGGTCCAAGTAATCACTTGCAGACTTTACAGACAGAGTCTTTCCAAACTGCTCTATGAAAAGAAAGGTGGAACTCTGCGAGCTGAACGCACACATAACAAAGCAGTTTCTGAGAATGATTTCTGTGTAGTTTTTACACGAAGCTATTTCCATTTCAAAGCATTAGCCTCAAATCGCTTGAAATCTCCACTTGCAAATTCCACAGAAAGAGTTTTTCAAAACTGCTCTGTGTAAAGGAAGGTTCAACTCTGTGACTTGAATACACACAACACAAAGAAGTGACTGAGAATTCTTCTGTCTAGCATTATATGAAGAAATCCCGTTTCCAACGAAGGCCTCAAAGAAGTCCAAATAAGCACCTGCAGACTTTACAAACAGAGTGTTTCCAAACTGCTCTATGAAAAGAAAGGTTAAACTCTGTGAGTTGAACGCACACATCACAAAGTAGTTGTTGAGAATGATTCTGTGTAGTTTTTATACGAAGATATTTCCTTTTCTGCCATAGGCCTAGAAGCGCTTGCAATCTGCACTTGCAAATTCCAAAAACAGAGTGTTTCAAATCTGCTCTCTCCAAAGGAAGGTTCAAATCTGTGAGTTGAATACAAACAACACAAAGAAGTTACTGAGAATTCTTCTGTCTAGCATTATAAGAGGAAATCCCGTTTCCAACGAAGGGCTCATAGAGGGACAATTATCCAGCTGCAGACTTACAAAGAGTGTATTTCCAAACTGCTCGATTAAAGAAAGGTTAAACTCTGTGAGTTGAACACACACATCACAAAGTGTTTTCTGAGAATGATTTTGTCTAGTTTTAATACGAAGATATATCCTTTTCTATCACTGTCTTCGAAGCGTTTGAAATCTGCACTAGCAAATTCCACAGAAAGAGTGTTTCAACTCTGCTCTCTCTCAAGAAAGGTTCAACTCTGTGAGTGGAATACACACAACACAAAGAAGTTACTGAGAATTCTTCTGTCTAGCGTTATATGAAGAAATCCCGTTTCCAACGAAGGCCTCAAAGAGGTCCAAATATCCACTTGCAGACTTTACAAAGAGAGTGTTTCCAAACTGCTCTATGAAAAGAAAGGTTAAACTCCGTGAGTTGAAGGCACACATCACAAACTAGTTTCTGCGAATGACTCTGTGTACTTTTAATACGAAGATGTTTCCATGTCTAAGATTGGCGTGAATTCGCTTGAAATCTCCACTTGCAATTTCCACAAAAAGAGTGTTTCAAAACTGCTCTGAATAAAGGAAGGTTCCACTCTGTGAGTTGAATACACACAACACAAAGGATTTACTGAGAATTCTTCTGTCTAGCAGTAAATGAAAAAATCCCGCTTCCAACGAAGTCCTCAAAGGGGTCCAACTAATCACTTGCAGACTTTACAGACAGAGTCTTTCCAAACTGCTCTATGAAAAGAAAGGTGGAACTCTGTGAGCTGAACGCACACATAACAAAGCAGTTTCTGAGAATGATTCTGTGTAGTTTTTACACGAAGCTATTTCCATTTCAAAGATTAGCCTCAAATCGCTTGAAATCTCCACTTGCAAATTCCACAGAAAGAGTTTTTCAAAACTGCTCTGTGTAAAGGAAGGTTCAACTCTGTGACTTGAATACACACAACACAAAGAAGTGACTGAGAATTCTTCTGTCTAGCATTATATGAAGAAATCCCGTTTCCAACGAAGGCCTCAAAGAAGTCCAAATAAGCACCTGCAGACTTTACAAACAGAGTGTTTCCAAACTGCTCTATGAAAAGAAAGGTTAAACTCTGTGAGTTGAACGCACACATCACAAAGTAGTTGTCGAGAATGATTCTGTGTAGTTTTTATACGAAGATATTTCCTTTTCTGCCATAGGCCTAGAAGCGCTTGTAATCTGCACTTGCAAATTCCAAAAACAGAGTGTTTCAAATCTGCTCTCTCTAAAGGAAGGTTCAAATCTGTGAGTTGAATACAAACAACACAAAGAAGTTACTGAGAATTCTTCTGTCTAGCATTATAAGAGGAAATCCCGTTTCCAACGAAGGGCTCATAGAGGGACAATTATCCAGCTGCAGACTTACAAAGAGTGTATTTCCAAACTGCTCGATTAAAGAAAGGTTAAACTCTGTGAGTTGAACACACACATCACAAAGTGTTTTCTGAGAATGATTTTGTCTAGTTTTAATACGAAGATATATCCTTTTCTATCACTGTCTTCGAAGCGTTTGAAATCTGCACTAGCAAATTCCACAAACAGAGGGTTTCAACTCTGCTCTCTCTCAAGAAAGGTTCAACTCTGTGAGTGGAATACACACAACACAAAGAAGTTACTGAGAATTCTTCTGTCTAGCGTTATATGAAGAAATCCCGTTTCCAACGAAGGCCTCAAAGAGGTCCAAATATCCACTTGCAGACTTTACAAATAGAGTGTTTCCAAACTGCTCTATGAAAAGAAAGGTTAAACTCTGTGAGTTGAAGGCACACATCACAAACTAGTTTCTGCGAATGACTCTGTGTACTTTTAATACGAAGATGTTTCCATGTCTAAGATTGGCGTGAATTCGCTTGAAATCTCCACTTGCAAATTCCACAAAAAGAGTGTTTCAAAACTGCTCTGAATAAAGGAAGGTTCCACTCTGTGAGTTGAATACACACAAAACAAAGGATTTACTGAGAATTCTTCTGTCTAGCAGTAAATGAAAAAATCCCGCTTCCAACGAAGTCCTCAAAGGGGTCCAAGTAATCACTTGCAGACTTTACAGACAGAGTCTTTCCAAACTGCTCTATGAAAAGAAAGGTGGAACTCTGTGAGCTGAACGCACACATAACAAAGCAGTTTCTGACAATGATTCTGTGTAGTTTTTACACGAAGATATTTCCATTTCAAAGATTAGCCTCAAATCGCTTGAAATCTCCACTTGCAAATTCCACAGAAAGAGTTTTTCAAAACTGCTCTGTGTAAAGGAAGGTTCAACTCTGTGACTTGAATACACACAACACAAAGAAGTGACTGAGAATTCTTCTGTCTAGCATTATATGAAGAAATCCCGTTTCCAACGAAGGCCTCAAAGAAGTCCAAAGAAGCACCTGCAGACTTTACAAACAGAGTGTTTCCAAACTGCTCTATGAAAAGAAAGGTTAAACTCTGTGAGTTGAACGCACACATCACAAAGTAGTTGTTGAGAATGATTCTGTGTAGTTTTTATACGAAGATATTTCCTTTTCTGCCATAGGCCTAGAAGCGCTTGTAATCTGCACTTGCAAATTCCAAAAACAGAGTGTTTCAAATCTGCTCTCTCTAAAGGAAGGTTCAAATCTGTGAGTTGAATACAAACAACACAAAGAAGTTACTGTGAATTCTTCTGTCTAGCATTATAAGAGGAAATCCCGTTTCCAACGAAGGGCTCATAGAGGGACAATTATCCAGCTGCAGACTTACAAAGAGTGTATTTCCAAACTGCTCGATTAAAGAAAGGTTAAACTCTGTGAGTTGAACACACACATCACAAAGTGTTTTCTGAGAATGATTTTGTCTAGTTTTAATACGAAGATATATCCTTTTCTATCACTGTCTTCGAAGTGTTTGAAATCTGCACTAGCAAATTCCACAAACAGAGTGTTTCAACTCTGCTCTCTCTCAAGAAAGGTTCAACTCTGTGAGTGGAATACACACAACACAAAGAAGTTACTGAGAATTCTTCTGTCTAGCGTTATATGAAGAAATCCCGTTTCCAACGAAGGCCTCAAAGAGGTCCAAATATCCACTTGCAGACTTTACAAATAGAGTGTTTCCAAACTGCTCTATGAAAAGAAAGGTTAAACTCCGTGAGTTGAAGGCACACATCACAAACTAGTTTCTGCGAATGACTCTGTGTACTTTTAATACGAAGATGTTTCCATGTCTAAGATTGGCGTGAATTCGCTTGAAATCTCCACCTGCAAATTCCACAAAAAGAATGTTTCAAAACTGCTCTGAATAGAGGAAGGTTCCACTCTGTGAGTTGAATACACACAACACAAAGGATTTACTGAGAATTCTTCTGTCTAGCAGTAAATGAAAAAATCCCGCTTCCAACGAAGTCCTCAAAGGGGTCCAAGTAATCACTTGCAGACTTTACAGACAGAGTCTTTCCAAACTGCTCTATGAAAAGAAAGGTGGAACTCTGTGAGCTGAACGCACACATAACAAAGCAGTTTCTGAGAATGATTCTGTGTAGTTTTTACACGAAGATATTTCCATTTCAAAGATTAGCCTAAAATCGCTTGACATCTCCACTTGCAAATTCCACAGAAAGAGTTTTTCAAAACTGCTCTGTGTAAAGGAAGGTTCAACTCTGTGACTTGAATACACACAACACAAAGAAGTGACTGAGAATTCTTCTGTCTAGCATTATATGAAGAAATCCCGTTTCCAACGAAGGCCTCAAAGAAGTCCAAATAAGCACCTGCAGACTTTACAAACAGAGTGTTTCGAAACTGCTCTATGAAAAGAAAGGTTAAACTCCGTGAGTTGAACGCACGCATCACAAACTAGTTTCTGCGAATGACTTTGTCTAGTTTTAGTACGAAGATATATCCTTTTCTATCACAGACTTCGAAGCGTTTGAAATCTGCACTAGCAAATTCCACAAAAAGAGTGTTTCAACTCTGCTCTCTCTCAAGAAAGGTTCAACTCTGTGAGTTGAATACACACAACACAAAGAAGTTACTGAGAATTCTTCTGTCTAGCGTTATATGAAGAAATCCCATTTCCAACGAAGGCCTCAAAGAGGTCCAAATATCCACTTGCAGACTTTACAAATAGAGTGTTTCCAAACTGCTCTATGAAAAGAAAGGTTAAACTCTGTGAGTTGAAGGCACACATCACAAACTAGTTTCTACGAATGACTCTGTGTACTTTTAATATGAAGATATTTCCACGTCTAAGATTGGTGTCAAATCGCTTGAAATCTCCACTTGCAAATTCCACAAAAAGTGTTTTTCAAAACTTCTCTGAATAAAGGAAGGTTCAACTCTGTGAGTTGAATACACACAACACAAAGGATTTAATGAGAATTCTTCTGTCTAGCAGTAAATGAAAAAATCCCGCTTCCAAAGAAGTCCTCAAAGGGGTCCAAGTAATCACTTGCAGACTTTACAGACAGAGTCTTTCCAACCTGCTCTATGAAAAGAAAGGTGGAACTCTGTGAGCTGAACGCACACATAACAAAGCAGTTTCTGAGAATGATTCTGTGTAGTTTTTACACGAAGCTATTTCCATTTCAAAGATTAGCCTCAAATCGCTTGAAATCTCCACTTGCAAATTCCACAGAAAGAGTTTTTCAAAACTGCTCTGTGTAAAGGAAGGTTCAACTCTGTGACTTGAATCCACACAACACAAAGAAGTGACTGAGAATTCTTCTGTCTAGCATTATATGAAGAAATCCCGTTTCCAACGAAGGCCTCAAAGAAGTCCAAATAAGCACCTGCAGACTTTACAAACAGAGTGTTTCCAAACTGCTCTATGAAAAGAAAGGTTAAACTCTGTGAGCTGAACGCACACATCACAAAGTAGTTGTTGAGAATGATTTTGTCTAGTTTTAATACGAAGATATATCCTTTTCTATCACTGTCTTCGAAGCGTTTGAAATCTGTACTAGCAAATTCCACAAAAAGAGTGTTTCAACTCTGCTCTCTCTCAAGAAAGGTTCAACTCTGTGAGTTGAATACACACAACACAAAGAAGTTACTGAGAATTCTTCTGTCTAGCGTTATATGAAGAAATCCCGTTTCCAACGAAGGCCTCAAAGAGGTCCAAATATCCACTTGCAGACTTTACAAATAGAGTGTTTCCAAACTGCTCTATGAAAAGAAAGGTTAAAATCTGTGAGTTGAAGGCACACATCACAAACTAGTTTCTACGAATGACTGTATACTTTTAATATGAAGATATTTCCATGTCTAAGATTGGCGTCAAATCGCTTGAAATCTCCACTTGCAAATTCAACAAAAAGTGTTTTTCAAAACTGCTCTGAATAAAGGAAGGTTCCACTCTGTGAGTTGAATACACACAACACAAAGGATTTACTGAGAATTCTTCTGTCTAGCAGTAAATGAGAAATCCCGCTTCCTACGAAGGCCTCAAAGGGGTCTAACTAATCACTTGCAGACTTTACAGACAGAGTCTTTCCAAACTGCTCTATGAAAAGAAAGGTGGAACTCTGTGAGCTGAAGGCACACATAAGAAAGCAGTTTCTGAGAATGATTCTGTGTAGTTTTTACACGAAGATATTTCCATTTCAAAGATTAGCCTCAAATCGCCTGAAATCTCCACTTGCAAATTCCACAGAAAGAGTGTTTCAAAACTGCTCTGAATAAAGGAAGGTTCGACTCTGTGAGTTGAATACACACAACACAAAGGCTTTAATGAGAATTCTTTCTGTCTAGCAGTAAATGAAAAAATCCCGCTTCCAACGAAGTCCTCAAAGGGGTCCAAGTAATCACTTGCAGACTTTACAGACAGAGTCTTTCCAAACTGCTCTATGAAAAGAAAGGTGGAACTCTGTGAGCTGAACGCACACATAACAAAGCAGTTTCTGAGAATGATTCTGTGTAGTTTTTACACGAAGATATTTCCATTTCAAAGATTGGCCTCAAATCGCTTGAAATCTCCACTTGCAAATTCCACAGAAAGAGTTTTTCAAAACTGCTCTGTGTAAAGGAATGTTCAACTCTGTGACTTGAATACACACAACACAAAGAAGTGACTGAGAATTCTTCTGTCTAGCATTATATGAAGAAATCCCGTTTCCAACGAAGGCCTCAAAGAAGTCCAAATAAGCACCTGCAGACTTTACAAACAGAGTGTTTCCAAACTGCTCTATGAAAAGAAAGGTTAAACTCTGTGAGTTGAACGCACACATCACAAAGTAGTTGTTGAGAATGATTCTGTGTAGTTTTTATACGAAGATATTTCCTTTTCTGCCATAGGCCTAGAAGCGCTTGCAATCTGCACTTGCAAATTCCAAAAACAGAGTGTTTCAAATCTGCTCTCTCTACAGGAAGTTTCAAATCTGTGAGTTGAATACAAACAACACAAAGAAGTTACTGAGAATACTTCTGTCTAGCATTATATGAGGAAATCCCGTTTCCAACGAAGGGCTCATAGAGGGACAATTATCCACCTGCAGACTTACAAAGAGTGCATTTCCAAACTGCTCGATTAAAGAAAGGTTAAACTCTGTGAGTTGAACACACACATCACAAAGTGTTTTCTGAGAATGATTTTGTCTAGTTTTAATACGAAGATATATCCTTTTCTATCACTGTCTTCGAAGCGTTTGAAATCTGCACTAGCAAATTCCACAAAAAGAGTGTTTCAACTCTGCTCTCTCTCAAGAAAGGTTCAACTCTGTGAGTTGAATACACACAACACAAAGAAGTTACTGAGAATTCTTCTGTCTAGCGTTATATGAAGAAATCCCGTTTCCAACGAAGGCCTCAAAGAGGTCCAAATATCCACTTGCAGACTTTACAAATAGAGTGTTTCCAAACTGCTCTATGAAAAGAAAGGTTAAACTCTGTGAGTTGAAGGCACACATCACAAACTAGTTTCTGCGAATGACTCTGTGTACTTTTAATATGAAGATATTTCCATGTCTAAGATTGGCGTCAAATCGCTTGAATTCTCCACTTGCAAATTCCACTAAAAGTGTTTTTCAAAAGTGCTCTGAATAAAGGAAGGTTCCACTCTGTGAGTTGAATACACACAACACAAAGGATTTACTGAGAATTCTTCTGTCTTGAAGTAAATGAGAAATCCCGCTTCCAACGAAGGCCTCAAAGGGGTCTAACTAATCACTTGCAGACTTTAAAGACAGAGTCTTTCCAAACTGCTCTATGAAGAGAAAGGTGAAACTCTGTGAACTGAACGCACAGATGACAAAGCAGTTTCTGAGAAAGCTTCTGTGTAGTTTTTACACGAAGATATTTCCATTTCAAAGATTAGCCTCAAATCGCTTGAAATCTCCACTTGCAAACTCCACAGAAAGAATTTTTCAAAACTGCTCTGTCTAAAGGAAGGTTCAACTCTGTGTCTTGAATACACACAACACAAAGAAGTGACTGAGAATTCTTCTGTCTAGCATTATATGAAGAAATCCCGTTTCCAACGAAGGCCTCAAAGAAGTCCAAATAAGCACCTGCAGACTTTACAAACAGAGTGTTTCCAAACTGTTCTATGAAAAGAAAGGTTAAACTCTGTGAGTTGAACGCACACATCACAAAGTAGTTGTTGAGAATGATTCTGTGTAGTTTTTATACGAAGATATTTCCTTTTCTGCCATAGGCCTAGAAGCGCTTGTAATCTGCACTTGCAAATTCCAAAAACAGAGTGTTTCAAATCTGCTCTCTCTAAAGGAAGGTTCAAATCTGTGAGTTGAATACAAACAACACAAAGAAGTTACTGAGAATTCTTCTGTCTAGCATTATAAGAGGAAATCCTGTTTCCAACGAAGGGCTCATAGAGGGACAATTATCCAGCTGCAGACTTACAAAGAGTGTATTTCCAAACTGCTCGATTAAAGAAAGGTTAAACTCTGTGAGTTGAACACACACATCACAAAGTGTTTTCTGAGAATGATTTTGTCTAGTTTCAATACGAAGATATATCCTTTTCTATCACTGTCTTCGAAGCGTTTGAAATCTGCACTAGCAAATTCCACAGAAAGAGTGTTTCAACTCTGCTCTCTCTCAAGAAAGGTTCAACTCTGTGAGTTGAATACACACAACACAAAGAAGTTACTGAGAATTCTTCTGTCTAGCGTTATATGAAGAAATCCCGTTTCCAACGAAGGCCTCAAAGAGGTCCAAATATCCACTTGCAGACTTTACAAATAGAGTGTTTCCAAACTGCTCTATGAAAAGAAAGGTTAAACTCCGTGAGTTGAAGGCACACATCACAAACTAGTTTCTGCGAATGACTCTGTGTACTTTTAATACGAAGATGTTTCCATGTCTAAGATTGGCGTGAATTCGCTTGAAATCTCCACTTGCAAATTCCACAAAAAGAGTGTTTCAAAACTGCTCTGAATAAAGGAAGGTTCCACTCTGTGAGTTGAATACACACAACACAAAGGATTTACTGAGAATTCTTCTGTCTAGCAGTAAATGAAAAAATCCCGCTTCCAACGAAGTCCTCAAAGGGGTCCAAGTAATCACTTGCAGACTTTACAGACAGAGTCTTTCCAAACTGCTCTATGAAAAGAAAGGTGGAACTCTGTGAGCTGAACGCACACATAACAAAGCAGTTTCTGAGAATGATTCTGTGTAGTTTTTACACGAAGATATTTCCATTTCAAAGATTAGCCTCAAATCGCTTGAAATCTCCACTTGCAAATTCCACAGAAAGAGTTTTTCAAAACTGCTCTGTGTAAAGGAAGGTTCAACTCTGTGACTTGAATACACACAACACAAAGAAGTGACTGAGAATTCTTCTGTCTAGCATTATACGAAGAAATCCCGTTTCCAACGAAGGCCTCAAAGAAGTCCAAATAAGCACCTGCAGACTTTACAAACAGAGTGTTTCCAAACTGCTCTATGAAAAGAAAGGTAAAACTCTGTGAGTTGAATGCACACATCACAAAGTAGTTGTTGAGAATGATTCTGTGTAGTTTTTATACGAAGATATTTAATTTTCTGCCATAGGCCTAGAAGCGCTTGCAATCTGCACTTGCAAATTCCAAAAACAGAGTGTTTCAAATCTGCTCTCTCCAAAGGAAGGTTCAAATCTGTGAGTTGAATACAAACAACACAAAGAAGTTACTGAGAATTCTTCTGTCTAGCTTTATAAGAGGAAATCCCGTTTCCAACGAAGGGCTCATAGAGGGACAATTATCCAGCTGCAGACTTACAAAGAGTGTATTTCCAAACTGCTCGATTAAAGAAAGGTTAAACTCTGTGAGTTGAACACACACATCACAAAGTGTTTTCTGAGAATGATTCTGTGTAGTTTTTATACGAAGATATTTCCTTTTCTGCCATAGGCCTAGAAGCGCTTGTAATCTCCACTTGCAAATTCCAAAAACAGAGTGTTTCAAATCTGCTCTCTCTAAAGGAAGGTTCAAATCTGTGAGTTGAATACAAACAACACAAAGAAGTTACTGAGAATTCTTCTGTCTAGCATTATAAGAGGAAATCCCGTTTCCAACGAAGGGCTCATAGAGGGACAATTATCCAGCTGCAGACTTACAAAGAGTGTATTTCCAAACTGCTCGATTAAAGAAAGGTTAAACTCTGTGAGTTGAACACACACATCACAAAGTGTTTTCTGAGAATGATTCTGTGTAGTTTTTATACGAAGATATTTCCTTTTCTGCCATAGGCCTAGAAGCGCTTGCAATCTGCACTTGCAAATTCCAAAAACAGAGTGTTTCAAATCTGCTCTCTCCAAAGGAAGGTTCAAATCTGTGAGTTGAATACAAACAACACAAAGAAGTTACTGAGAATTCTTTCTGTCTAGCGTTGTATGAAGATATCCCGTTTCCAACGAAGGCCTCAAAGAGGTCCAAATATCCACTTGCAGACTTTACAAATAGAGTGTTTCCAAACTGCTCTATGAAAAGAAAGGTTAAACTCTGTGAGTTGAAGGCACACATCACAAACTAGTTTCTACGAATGACTCTGTGTACTTTTAATATGAAGATATTTCCATGTCTAAGATTGGCGTCAAATCGCTTGAAATCTCCACTTGCAAATTCCACAAAAAGTGTTTTTCAAAACTGCTCTGAATAAAGGAAGGTTCCACTCTGTGAGTTGAATACACACAACACAAAGGATTTACTGAGAATTCTTCTGTCTAGCAGTAAATGAGAAATCCCGCTTCCAACGAAGGCCTCAAAGGGGTCTAACTAATCACTTGCAGACTTTACAGACAGAGTCTTTCCAAACTGCTCTATGAAGAGAAAGGTGAAACTCTGTGAACTGAACGCACAGATGACAAAGCAGTTTCTGAGAATGATTCTGTGTAGTTTTTACACGAAGATATTTCCATTTCAAAGATTAGCCTCAAATCGCTTGAAATCTCCACTTGCAAACTCCACAGAAAGAATTTTTCAAAACTGCTCTGTCTAAAGGAAGGTTCAACTCTGTGACTTGAATACACACAACACAAAGAAGTGACTGAGAATTCTTCTGTCTAGCATTATATGAAGAAATCCCGTTTCCAACGAAGGCCTCAATGAAGTCCAAAAAAGCACTTGCAGGCTTTACAAACAGAGTGTTTCCAAACTGCTCTATGAAAAGAAAGGTTAAACTCTGTGAGTTGAACGCACACATCACAAAGTAGTTGTTGAGAATGATTCTGTGTAGTTTTTATACGAAGATATTTACTTTTCTGCCATAGGCCTAGAATCGCTTGAAATCTGCACTTGCAAATTCCAAAAACAGAGTGTTTCAACTCTGCTCTCTCTAAAGAAAGGTTCAACTCTGTGAGTTGAATACACACAACACAAAGAAGTTACTGAGAATTCTTCTGTCTAGCATTATATGAGGAAATCCCGTTTCCAACGAAGGGCTCAAAGAGGGCCAAATATCCACCTGCAGACTTACAAAGAGTGTATTTCCAAACTGCTCGATTAAAGAAAGGTTAAACTCTGTGAGTTGAACACACACATCACAAAGAGTTTTCTGAGAATGATTTTGTCTACTTTTAATACGAAGATATATCCTTTTCTATCACTGTCTTCGAAGCGTTTGAAATCTGCACTAGCAAATTCCACAAAAAGAGTGTTTCACCTCTGCTCCCTCTAAAGAAAGGTTCAACTCTGTGAGTTGAATACACACAACACAAAGAAGTTACTGAGAATTCTTCTGTCTAGCGTTATATGAAGAAATCCCGTTTCCAACGAAGGCCTCAAAGAGGTCCAAATATCCACTTGCAGACTTTACAAATAGAGTGTTTCCCAACTGCTCTATGAAAAGAAAGGTTAAACTCTGTGAGTTGAAGGCACACATCACAAACTAGTTTCTACGAATGACTCTGTGTACTTTTAATATGAAGATATTTCCATGTCTAAGATTGGCGTCAAATCGCTTGAAATCTCCACTTGTAAATTCCACAAAAAGTGTTTTTCAAAACTGCTCTGAATAAAGGAAGGTTCCACTCTGTGAGTTGAATACACACAACACAAAGGATTTACTGAGAATTCTTCTGTCTAGCAGTAAATGAGAAATCCCGCTTCCAACGAAGGCCTCAAAGGGGTCAAACTAATCACTTGCAGACTTTACAGACAGAGTCTTTCCAAACTGCTCTATGAAGAGAAAGGTGAAACTCTGTGAACTGAACGCACAGATGACAAAGCAGTTTCTGAGAATGATTCTGTGTAGTTTTTACACGAAGATATTTCCATTTCAAAGAATTAGCCTCAAATCGCTGGAAATCTCCACTTGCAAACTCCACAGAAAGAATTTTTCAAAACTGCTCTGTCTAAAGGAAGGTTCAACTCTGTGACTTGAATACACACAACACAAAGAAGTGACTGAGAATTCTTCTGTCTAGCATTATAAGAGGAAATCCCGTTTCCAACGAAGGGGTCATAGAGGGACAATTATCCAGCTGCAGACTTACAAAGAGTGTATTTCCAAACTGCTCGATTAAAGAAAGGTTAAACTCTGTGAGTTGAACGCACACATCACAAAGTGTTTTCTGAGAATGATTTTGTCTAGTTTTAATACGAAGATATATCCTTTTCTATCACTGTCTTCGAAGCGTTTGAAATCTGCACTAGCAAATTCCACAAACAGAGTGTTTCAACTCTGCTCTCTCTCAAGAAAGGTTCAACTCTGTGAGTGGAATACACACAACAGAAAGAAGTTACTGAGAATTCTTCAGTCTAGCGTTATATGAAGAAATCCCGTTTCCAACGAAGGCCTCAAAGAGGTCCAAATATCCACTTGCAGACTTTACAAATAGAGTGTTTCCAAACTGCTCTATGAAAAGAAAGGTTAAACTCTGTGAGTTGAAGGCACACATCACAAACTAGTTTCTGCGAATGACTCTGTGTACTTTTAATACGAAGATGTTTCCATGTCTAAGATTGGCGTGAATTCGCTTGAAATCTCCACTTGCAAATTCCACAAAAAGAGTGTTTCAAAACTGCTCTGAATAAAGGAAGGTTCCACTCTGTGAGTTGAATACACACAACACAAAGGATTTACTGAGAATTCTTCTGTCTAGCAGTAAATGAAAAAATCCCGCTTCCAACGAAGTCCTCAAAGGGGTCCAAGTAATCACTTGCAGACTTTACAGACAGAGTCTTTCCAAACTGCTCTATGAAAAGAAAGGTGGAACTCTGTGAGCTGAACGCACACATAACAAAGCAGTTTCTGAGAATTATTCTGTGTAGTTTTTACACGAAGATATTTCCATTTCAAAGATTAGCCTCAAATCGCTTGAAATCTCCACTTGCAAATTCCACAGAAAGAGTTTTTCAAAACTGCTCTGTGTAAAGGAAGGTTCAACTCTGTGACTTGAATACACACAACACAAAGAAGTGACTGAGAATTCTTCTGTCTAGCATTATATGAAGAAATCCCGTTTCCAACGAAGGCCTCAAAGAAGTCCAAATAAGCACCTGCAGACTTTACAAACAGAGTGTTTCCAAACTGCTCTATGAAAAGAAAGGTTAAACTCTGTGAGTTGAACGCACACATCACAAAGTAGTTGTTGAGAATGATTCTGTGTAGTTTTTATACGAAGATATTTCCTTTTCTGCCATAGGCCTAGAAGCGCTTGCAATCTGCACTTGCAAATTCCAAAAACAGAGTGTTTCAAATCTGCTCTCTCCAAAGGAAGGTTCAAATCTGTGAGTTGAATACAAACAACACAAAGAAGTTACTGAGAATTCTTCTGTCTAGCATTATAAGAGGAAATCCCGTTTCCAACGAAGGGCTCATAGAGGGACAATTATCCAGCTGCAGACTTACAAAGAGTGTATTTCCAAACTGCTCGATTAAAGAAAGGTTAAACTCTGTGAGTTGAACACACACATCACAAAGTGTTTTCTGAGAATGATTTTGTCTAGTTTTAATACGAAGATATATCCTTTTCTATCACTGTCTTTGAAGCGTTTGAAATCTGCACTAGCAAATTCCACAAACAGAGTGTTTCAACTCTGCTCTCTCTCAAGAAAGGTTCAACTCTGTGAGTGGAATACACACAACACAAAGAAGTTACTGAGAATTCTTCTGTCTAGCGTTATATGAAGAAATCCCGTTTCCAACGAAGGCCTCAAAGACGTCCAAATATCCACTTGCAGACTTTACAAATAGAGTGTTTCCAAACTGCTCTATGAAAAGAAAGGTTAAACTCCGTGAGTTGAAGGCACACATCACAAACTAGTTTCTGCGAATGACTCTGTGTACTTTTAATACGAAGATGTTTCCATGTCTAAGATTGGCGTGAATTCGCTTGAAATCTCCACTTGCAAATTCCACAAAAAGAGTGTTTCAAAACTGCTCTGAATAAAGGAAGGTTCCACTCTGTGAGTTGAATACACACAACACAAAGGATTTACTGAGAATTCTTCTGTCTAGCAGTAAATGAAAAAATCCCGCTTCCAACGAAGTCCTCAAAGGGGTCCAAGTAATCACTTGCAGACTTTACAGACAGAGTCTTTCCAAACTGCTCTATGAAAAGAAAGGTGGAACTCTGTGAGCTCAACGCACACATAACAAAGCAGTTTCTGAGAATGATTCTGTGTAGTTTTTACACGAAGATATTTCCATTTCAAAGATTAGCCTCAAATCGCTTGAAATCTCCACTTGCAAATTCCACAGAAAGAGTTTTTCAAAACTGCTCTGTGTAAAGGAAGGTTCAACTCTGTGACTTGAATACACACAACACAAAGAAGTGACTGAGAATTCTTCTGTCTAGCATTATATGAAGAAATCCCGTTTCCAACGAAGGCCTCAAAGAAGTCCAAATAAGCACCTGCAGACTTTACAAACAGAGTGTTTCCAAACTGCTCTATGAAAAGAAAGGTTAAACTCTGTGAGTTGAACGCACACATCACAAAGTAGTTGTTGAGAATGATTCTGTGTAGTTTTTATACGAAGATATTTCCTTTTCTGCCATAGGCCTAGAAGCGCTAGCAATCTGCACTTGCAAATTCCAAAAACAGAGTGTTTCAAATCTGCTCTCTCCAAAGGAAGGTTCAAATCTGTGAGTTGAATACAAACAACACAAAGAAGTTACTGAGAATTCTTCTGTCTAGCGTTGTATGAAGAAATTCCTTTTCCAACGAAGGCCTCAAAGAGGTCCAAATATCCACTTGCAGACTTTACAAATAGAGTGTTCCAAACTGCTCTATGAAAAGAAAGGTCAAACTCTGTGAGTTGAAGGCACACATCACAAACTAGTTTCTACGAATGACTCTGTGTACTTTTAATATGAAGATATTTCCATGTCTAAGATTGGCGTCAAATCGCTTGAAATCTCCACTTCCAAATTCCACAAAAAGTGTTTTTCAAAACTGCTCTGAATAAAGGAAGGTTCAACTCTGTGAGTTGAATACACACAACACAAAGGATTTACTGAGAATTCTTCTAACAGTAAATGAGAAATCCCGCTTCCAACGAAGGCCTCAAAGGGGTCTAACTAATCACTTGCAGACTTTACAGACAGAGTCTTTCCAAACTGCTCTATGAAGAGAAAGGTGAAACTCTGTGAACTGAACGCACAGATAACAAAGCAGTTTCTGAGAATGAATCTGTGTAGTTTTTACACGAAGATATTTCCATTTCAAAGATTAGCCTCAAATCGCTTGAAATCTCCACTTGCAAATTCCACAGAAAGAATTTTTCAAAACTGCTCTGTCTAAAGGAAGGTTCAACTCTGTGACTTGAATACACACAACACAAAGAAGTGACTGAGAATTCTTCTGTCTAGCATTATATGAAGAAATCCCTGTTTCCAACGAAGGCCTCAATGAAGTCCAAAAAAGCACTTGCAGGCTTTACAAACAGAGTGTTTCCAAACTGCTCTATGAAAAGAAAGGTTAAACTCTGTGAGTTGAACGCACACATCACAAAGTAGTTGTTGAGAATGATTCTGTGTAGTTTTTATACGAAGATATTTCCTTTTCTGCCATAGGCCTAGAAGCGCTTGAAATCTGCACTTGCAAATTCCAAAAACAGAGTGTTTCAAATCTGCTCTCTCTAAAGGAAGGTTCAAATCTGTGTGTTGAATACAAACAACACAAAGAAGTTACTGAGAATTCTTCTGTCTAGCATTATATGAGGAAATCCCGTTTCCAACGAAGGGCTCAAAGAGGGCCAAATATCCACCTGCAGACTTACAAAGAGTGTATTTCCAAACTGCTCGATTAAAGAAAGGTTAAACTCTGTGAGTTGAAGGCACACATCACAAACTAGTTTCTACGAATGACTCTGTGTACTTTTAATATGAAGATATTTCCATGTCTAAGATTGGCGTCAAATCGCTTGAAATCTCCACTTGCAAATTCCACAAAAAGTGTTTTTCAAAACTGCTCTGAATAAAGGAAGGTTCCACTCTGTGAGTTGAATACACACAACACAAAGGATTTACTGAGAATTCTTCTGTCTAGCAGTAAATGAGAAATCCCGCTTCCAACGAAGGCCTCAAAGGGGTCTAACTAATCACTTGCAGACTTTACAGACAGAGTCTTTCCAAACTGCTCTATGAAGAGAAAGGTGAAACTCTGTGAACTGAACGCACAGATGACAAAGCAGTTTCTGAGAATGATTCTGTGTAGTTTTTACACGAAGATATTTCCATTTCAAAGATTAGCCTCAAATCGCTTGAAATCTCCACTTGCAAACTCCACAGAAAGAATTTTTCAAAACTGCTCTGTCTAAAGGAAGGTTCAACTCTGTGACTTGAATACACACAACACAAAGAAGTGACTGAGAATTCTTCTGTCTAGCATTATATGAAGAAATCCCGTTTCCAACGAAGGCCTCAATGAAGTCCAAAAAAGCACTTGCAGGCTTTACAAACAGAGTGTTTCCAAACTGCTCTATGAAAAGAAAGGTGAGTTGAACTCTGTGAGTTGAACGCACACATCACAAAGTAGTTGTTGAGAATGATTCTGTGTAGTTTTTATACGAAGATATTTCCTTTTCTGCCATAGGCCTAGAAGCGCTTGAAATCTGCACTTGCAAATTCCAAAAACAGAGTGTTTCAAATCTGCTCTCTCTAAAGGAAGGTTCAAATCTGTGTGTTGAATACAAACAACACAAAGAAGTTACTGAGAATTCTTCTGTCTAGCATTATATGAGGAAATCCCGTTTCCAACGAAGGGCTCAAAGAGGGCCAAATATCCACCTGCAGAATTACAAAGAGTGTATTTCCAAACTGCTCGATTAAAGAAAGGTTAAACTCTGTGAGTTGAACACACACATCACAAAGAGTTTTCTGAGAATGATTTTGTCTACTTTTAATACGAAGATATATCCTTTTCTATCACTGTCTTCGAAGCGTTTGAAATCTACACTAGCAAATTCCACAAAAAGAGTGTTTCACCTCTGCTCCCTCTAAAGAAAGGTTCAACTCTGTGAGTTGAATACACACAACACAAAGAAGTTACTGAGAATTCTTCTGTCTAGCGTTATATGAAGATATCCCGTTTCCAACGAAGGCCTCAAAGAGGTCCAAATATCCACTTGCAGACTTTACAAATAGAGTGTTTCCAAACTGCTCTATGAAAAGAAAGGTTAAACTCCGTGAGTTGAAGGCACACATCACAAACTAGTTTCTGCGAATGACTCTGTGTACTTTTAATACGAAGATGTTTCCATGTCTAAGATTGGCGTGAATTCGCTTGAAATCTCCACTTGCAAATTCCACAAAAAGAGTGTTTCAAAACTGCTCTGAATAAAGGAAGGTTCCACTCTGTGAGTTGAGTACACACAACACAAAGGATTTACTGAGAATTCTTCTGTCTGGCAGTAAATGAAAAAATCCCGCTTCCAACGAAGTCCTCAAAGGGGTCCAAGTAATCACTTGCAGACTTTACAGACAGAGTCTTTCCAAACTGCTCTATGAAAAGAAAGGTGGAACTCTGTGAGCTGAACGCACACATAACAAAGCAGTTTCTGAGAATGATTCTGTGTAGTTTTTAAACGAAGATATTTCCATTTCAAAGATTAGCCTCAAATCGCTTGAAATCTCCACTTGCAAATTCCACAGAAAGAGTTTTTCAAAACTGCTCTGTGTAAAGGAAGGTTCAACTCTTTGACTTGAATACACACAACACAAAGAAGTGACTGAGAATTCTTCTGTCTAGCATTATATGAAGAAATCCCGTTTCCAACGAAGGCCTCAAAGAAGTCCAAATAAGCACCTGCAGACTTTACAAACAGAGTGTTTCCAAACTGCTCTATGAAAAGAAAGGTTAAACTCTGTGAGTTGAACGCACACATCACAAAGTAGTTGTTGAGAATGATTCTGTGTAGTTTTTATACGAAGATATTTCCTTTTCTGCCATAGGCCTAGAAGCGCTTGCAATCTGCACTTGCAAATTACAAAAACAGAGTGTTTCAAATCTGCTCTCTCCAAAGGAAGGTTCAAATCTGTGAGTTGAATACAAACAACACAAAGAAGTTACTGAGAATTCTTCTGTCTAGCATTATATGAGGAAATCCCGTTTCCAACGAAGGGCTCATAGAGGGACAATTATCCAGCTGCAGACTTACAAAGAGTGTATTTCCAAACTGCTCGATTAAAGAAAGGTTAAACTCTGTGAGTTGAACACACACATCACAAAGTGTTTTCTGAGAATGATTTTGTCTAGTTTTAATACGAAGATATATCCTTTTCTATCACTGTCTTCGAAGCGTTTGAAATCTGCACTAGCAAATTCCACAGAAAGAGTGTTTCAACTCTGCTCTCTCTCAAGAAAGGTTCAACTCTGTGAGTGGAATACACACAACACAAAGAAGTTACTGAGAATTCTTCTGTCTAGCGTTATATGAAGAAATCCCGTTTCCAACGAAGGCCTCAAAGAGGTCCAAATATCCCCTTGCAGACTTTACAAATAGAGTGTTTCCAAACTGCTCTATGAAAAGAAAGGTTAAACTCCGTGAGTTGAAGGCACACATCACAAACTAGTTTCTGCGAATGACTCTGTGTACTTTTAATACGAAGATGTTTCCATGTCTAAGATTGGCGTGAATTCGCTTGAAATCTCCACTTGCAATTTCCACAAAAAGAGTGTTTCAAAACTGCTCTGAATAAAGGAAGGTTTCACTCTGTGAGTTGAATACACACAACACAAAGGATTTACTGAGAATTCTTCTGTCTAGCAGTAAATGAAAAAATCCCGCTTCCAACAAAGTCCTCAAAGGGGTCCAAGTAATCACTTGCAGACTTTACAGACAGAGTCTTTCCAAACTGCTCTATGAAAAGAAAGGTGGAACTCTGTGAGCTGAACGCACACATAACAAAGCAGTTTCTGAGAATGATTCTGTGTAGTTTTTACACGAAGATATTTCCATTTCAAAGATTAGCCTCAAATCGCTTGAAATCTCCACTTGCAAATTCCACAGAAAGAGTTTTTCAAAACTGCTCTGTGTAAAGGAAGGTTCAACTCTGTGACTTGAATACACACAACACAAAGAAGTGACTGAGAATTCTTCTGTCTAGCATTACATGAAGAAATCCCGTTTCCAACGAAGGCCTCAAAGAAGTCCAAATAAGCACCTGCAGACTTTACAAACAGAGTGTTTCCAAACTGCTCTATGAAAAGAAAGGTTAAACTCTGTGAGTTGAACGCACACATCACAAAGTAGTTGTTGAGAATGATTCTGTGTAGTTTTTATACGAAGATATTTCCTTTTCTGCCATAGGCCTAGAAGCGCTTGTAATCTGCACTTGCAAATTCCGAAAACAGAGTGTTTCAAATCTGCTCTCTCTAAAGGAAGGTTCAAATCTGTGAGTTGAATACAAACAACACAAAGAAGTTACTGAGAATTCTTCTGTCTAGCATTATAAGAGGAAATCCCGTTTCCAACGAAGGGCTCATAGAGGGACAATTATCCAGCTGCAGACTTACAAAGAGTGTATTTCCAAACTGCTCGATTAAAGAAAGGTTAAACTCTGTGAGTTGAACACACACATCACAAAGTGTTTTCTGAGAATGATTTTGTCTAGTTTTAATACGAAGATATATCCTTTTCTATCACTGTCTTCGAAGCGTTTGAAATCTGCACTAGCAAATTCCACAGAAAGAGTGTTTCAACTCTGCTCTCTCTCAAGAAAGGTTCAACTCTGTGAGTTGAATACACACAACACAAAGAAGTTACTGAGAATTCTTCTGTCTAGCGTTATATGAAGAAATCCCGTTTCCAACGAAGGCCTCAAAGAGGTCCAAATATCCACTTGCAGACTTTACAAATAGAGTGTTTCCAAACTGCTCTATGAAAAGAAAGGTTAAACTCCGTGAGTTGAAGGCACACATCACAAACTAGTTTCTGCGAATGACTCTGTGTACTTTTAATACGAAGATGTTTCCATGTCTAAGATTGGCGTGAATTCGCTTGAAATCTCCACTTGCAAATTCCACAAAAAGAGTGTTTCAAAAGTGCTCTGAATAAAGGAAGGTTCCACTCTGTGAGTTGAATACACACAACACAAAGGATTTACTGAGAATTCTTCTGTCTAGCAGTAAATGAAAAAATCCCGCTTCCAACGAAGTCCTCAAAGGGGTCCAAGTAATCACTTGCAGACTTTACAGACAGAGTCTTTCCAAACTGCTCTATGAAAAGAAAGGTGGAACTCTGTGAGCTGAACGCACACATAACAAAGAAGTTTCTGAGAATGATTCTGTGTAGTTTTTACACGAAGCTATTTCCATTTCAAAGATTAGCCTCAAATCGCTTGAAATCTCCACTTGCAAATTCCACAGAAAGAGTTTTTCAAAACTGCTCTGTGTAAAGGATGGTTCAACTCTGTGACTTGAATACACACAACACAAAGAAGTGACTGAGAATTCTTCTGTCTAGCATTACATGAAGAAATCCCGTTTCCAACGAAGGCCTCAAAGAAGTCCAAATAAGCACCTGCAGACTTTACAAACAGAGTGTTTCCAAACTGCTCTATGAAAAGAAAGGTTAAACTCTGTGAGTTGAACGCACACATCACAAAGTAGTTGTTGAGAATGATTCTGTGTAGTTTTTATACGAAGATATTTCCTTTTCTGCCATAGGCCTAGAAGCGCTTGCAATCTGCACTTGCAAATTCCAAAAACAGAGTGTTTCAAATCTGCTCTCTCCAAAGGAAGGTTCAAATCTGTGAGTTGAATACAAACAACACAAAGAAGTTACTGAGAATTCTTCTGTCTAGCATTATAAGAGGAAATCCTGTTTCCAACGAAGGGCTCATAGAGGGACAATTATCCAGCTGCAGACTTACAAAGAGTGTATTTCCAAACTGCTCGATTAAAGAAAGGTTAAACTCTGTGAGTTGAACACACACATCACAAAGTGTTTTCTGAGAATGATTTTGTCTAGTTTTAATACGAAGATATATCCTTTTCTATCACTGTCTTCGAAGCGTTTGAAATCTGCACTAGCAAATTCCACAAACAGAGTGTTTCAACTCTGCTCTCTCTCAAGAAAGGTTCAACTCTGTGAGTGGAATACACACAACACAAAGAAGTTACTGAGAATTCTTCTGTCTAGCGTTATATGAAGAAATCCCGTTTCCAACGAAGGCCTCAAAGAGGTCCAAATATCCACTTGCAGACTTTACAAATAGAGTGTTTCCAAACTGCTCTATGAAAAGAAAGGTTAAACTCCGTGAGTTGAAGGCACACATCACAAACTAGTTTCTGCGAATGACTCTGTGTACTTTTAATACGAAGATGTTTCCATGTCTAAGATTGGCGTGAATTCGCTTGAAATCTCCACTTGCAAATTCCACCAAAAGAGTGTTTCAAAACTGCTCTGAATAAAGGAAGGTTCCACTCTGTGAGTTGAATACACACAACACAAAGGATTTACTGAGAATTCTTCTGTCTAGCAGTAAATGAAAAAATCCCGCTTCCGACGAAGTCCTCAAAGGGGTCCAAGTAATCATTTGCAGACTTTACAGACGGAGTCTTTCCAAACTGCTCTATGAAAAGAAAGGTGGAACTCTGTGAGCTGAACGCACACATAACAAAGCAGTTTCTGAGAATGATTCTGTGTAGTTTTTACACGAAGATATTTCCATTTCAAAGATTAGCCTCAAATCGCTTGAAATCTCCACTTGCAAATTCCACAGAAAGAGTTTTTCAAAACTGCTCTGTGTAAAGGAAGGTTCAACTCTGTGACTTGAATACACACAACACAAAGAAGTGACTGAGAATTCTTCTGTCTAGCATTATATGAAGAAATCCCGTTTCCAACGAAGGCCTCAAAGAAGTCCAAATAAGCACCTGCAAACTTTACAAACAGAGTGTTTCCAAACTGCTCTATGAAAAGAAAGGTTAAACTCTGTGAGTTGTACGCACACATCACAAAGTAGTTGTTGAGAATGATTCTGTGTAGTTTTTATACGAAGATATTTCCTTTTCTGCCATAGGCCTAGAAGCGCTTGTAATCTGCACTTGCAAATTCCAAAAACAGAGTGTTTCAAATCTGCTCTCTCTAAAGGAAGGTTCAAATCTGTGAGTTGAATACAAACAACACAAAGAAGTTACTGAGAATTCTTCTGTCTAGCATTATAAGAGGAAATCCCGTTTCCAACGAAGGGCTCATAGAGGGACAATTATCCAGCTGCAGACTTACAAAGAGTGTATTTCCAAACTGCTCGATTAAAGAAAGGTTAAACTCTGTGAGTTGAACACACACATCACAAAGTGTTTTCTGAGAATGATTTTGTCTAGTTTTAATACGAAGATATATCCTTTTCTATCACTGTCTTCGAAGCGTTTGAAATCTGCACTAGCAAATTCCACAAACAGAGTGTTTCAACTCTGCTCTCTCTCAAGAAAGGTTCAACTCTGTGAGTGGAATACACACAACACAAAGAAGTTACTGAGAATTCTTCTGTCTAGCGTTATATGAAGAAATCCCGTTTCCAACGAAGGCCTCAAAGAGGTCCAAATATCCACTTGCAGACTTTACAAATAGAGTGTTTCCAAACTGCTCTATGAAAATAAAGGTTAAACTCTGTGAGTTGAAGGCACACATCACAAACTAGTTTCTGCGAATGACTCTGTGTACTTTTAATACGAAGATGTTTCCATGTCTAAGATTGGCGTGAATTCGCTTGAAATCTCCACTTGCAAATTCCACAAAAAGAGTGTTTCAAAACTGCTCTGAATAAAGGAAGGTTCCACTCTGTGAGTTGAATACACACAACACAAAGGATTTACTGAGAATTCTTCTGTCTAGCGTTGTAAGAAGAAATCCCGTTTCCAACGAAGGCCTCAATGAAGTCCAAAAAACACTTGCAGGCTTTACAAACAGAGTGTTTCCAAACTGCTCTATGAAAAGAAAGGTTAAACTCTGTGAGTTGAACGCACACATCACAAAGTAGTTGTTGAGAATGATTCTGTGTAGTTTTTATACGAAGATATTTCCTTTTCTGCCATAGGCCTAGAAGCGCTTGAAATCTGCACTTGCAAATTCCAAGAACAGAATGTTTCAAATCTGCTCTCTCTAAAGGAAGGTTCAAATCTGTGTGTTGAATACAAACAACACAAAGAAGTTACTGAGAATTCTTCTGTCTAGCATTATATGAGGAAATCCCGTTTCCAACGAAGGGCTCAAAGAGGGCCAAATATGCACCTGCAGACTTACAAAGAGTGTATTTCCAAACTGCTCGATTAAAGAAAGGTTAAACTCTGTGAGTTGAACACACACATCACAAAGAGTTTTCTGAGAATGATTTTGTCTACTTTTAATACGAAGATATATCCTTTTCTATCACTGTCTTCGAAGCGTTTGAAATCTACACTAGCAAATTCCACAAAAAGAGTGTTTCACCTCTGCTCCCTCTAAAGAAAGGTTCAACTCTGTGAGTTGAATACACACAACCCAAAGAAGTTACTGAGAATTCTTCTGTCTAGTGTTATATGAAGAAATCCCGTTTCCAACGAAGGCCTCAAAGAGGTCCAAGTATCCACTTGCAGACTTTACAAATAGAGTGTTTCCCAACTGCTCTATTAAAAGAAAGGTTAAACTCTGTGAGTTGAAGGCACACATCACAAACTAGTTTCTACGAATGACTCTGCGTACTTTTAATATGAAGATATTTCCATGTCTAAGATTGGCATCAAATCGCTTGAAATCTCCACTTGCAAATTCCACAAAAAGAGTGTTTCAAAACTGCTCTGAATAAAGGAAGGTTCCACTCTGTGAGTTGAATACACACAACACAAAGGATTTACTGAGAATTCTTCTGTCTAGCAGTAAATGAGAAATCCCGCTTCCAACGAAGGCCTCAAAGGGTTCTAACTAATCACTTGCAGACTTTACAGACAGAGTCTTTCCAAACTGCTCTATGAAGAGAAAGGTGAAACTCTGTGAACTGAACGCACAGATGACAAAGCAGTTTCTGAGAATGATTCTGTGTAGTTTTTACACGAAGATATTTCCATTTCAAAGATTAGCCTCAAATCGCTTGAAATCTCCACTTGCAAACTCCACAGAAAGAATTTTTCAAAACTGCTCTGTCTAAAGGAAGGTTCAACTCTGTGACTTGAATACACACAACACAAAGAAGTGACTGAGAATTCTTCTGTCTAGCATTATATGAAGAAATCCCGTTTCCAACGAAGGCCTCAAAGTAAGTCCAAATAAGCACCTGCAGACTTTACAAACAGAGTGTTTCCAAACTGCTCTATGAAAAGAAAGGTTAAACTCTGTGAGTTGAACGCACACATCACAAAGTAGTTGTTGAGAATGATTCTGTGTAGTTTTTATACGAAGATATTTCCTTTTCTGCCATAGGCCTAGAAGCGCTTGCAATCTGCACTTGCAAATTCCAAAAACAGAGTGTTTCAAATCTGCTCTCTCTAAAGGAAGGTTCAAATGCTGTGAGTTGAATACAAACAACACAAAGAAGTTACTGAGAATTCTTCTGTCTAGCATTATATGAGGAAATCCCGTTTCCAACGAAGGGCTCATAGTAGGGACAATTATCCAGCTGCAGACTTACAAAGAGTGTATTTCCAAACTGCTCGATTAAAGAAAGGTTAAACTCTGTGAGTTGAACACACACATCACAAAGTGTTTTCTGAGAATGATTTTGTCTAGTTTTAATACGGAGATATATCCTTTTCTATCACTGTCTTCGAAGCGTTTGAAATCTGCACTAGCAAATTCCACAAAAAGAGTGTTTCAACTCTGCTCTCTCTAAAGAAAGGTTCAACTCTGTGAGTTGAATACACACAACACAAAGAAGGTACTGAGAATTCTTCTGTCTAGCGTTATATGAAGAAATCCCGTTTCCAACGAAGGCCTCAAAGAGGTCCAAATATCCACTTGCAGACTTTACAAATAGAGTGTTTCCAAACTGCTCTATGAAAAGAAAGGTTAAACTCCGTGAGTTGAAGGCACACATCACAAACTAGTTTCTGCGAATGACTCTGTGTACTTTTAATACGAAGATGTTTCCATGTCTAAGATTGGCGTGAATTCGCTTGAAATCTCCACTTGCAAATTCCACAAAAAGAGTGTTTCAAAACTGCTCTGAATAAAGGAAGGTTCCACTCTGTGAGTTGAATACACACAACACAAAGGATTTACTGAGAATTCTTCTGTCTAGCAGTAAATGAAAAAATCCCGCTTCCAACGAAGTCCTCAAAGGGGTCCAAGTAATCACTTGCAGACTTTACAGACAGAGTCTTTCCAAACTGCTCTATGAAAAGAAAGGTGGAACTCTGTGAGCTGAACGCACACATAACAAAGCAGTTTCTGACAATGATTCTGTGTAGTTTTTACACGAAGAATATTTCCATTTCAAAGATTAGCCTCAAATCGCTTGAAATCTCCACTTGCAAATTCCACAGAAAGAGTTTTTCAAAACTGCTCTGTGTAAAGGAAGGTTCAACTCTGTGACTTGAATACACACAACACAAAGAAGTGACTGAGAATTCTTCTGTCTAGCATTATATGAAGAAATCCCGTTTCCAACGAAGGCCTCAAAGAAGTCCAAATAAGCACCTGCAGACTTTACAAACAGAGTGTTTCCAAACTGCTCTATGAAAAGAAAGGTTAAACTCTGTGAGTTGAACGCACACATCACAAAGTAGTTGTTGAGAATGATTCTGTGTAGTTTTTATACGAAGATATTTCCTTTTCTGCCATAGCCCTAGAATCGCTTGAAATCTGCACTTGCAAATTCCAAAAACAGAGTGTTTCAACTCTGCTCTCTCTAAAGAAAGGTTCAACTCTGTGAGTTGAATACACACAACACAAAGAAGTGACTGAGAATTCTTCTGTCTAGCGTTGTATGAAGAAATCCCGTTTCCAACGAAGGCCTCAATGAAGTCCAAAAAAGCACTTGCAGGCTTTACAAACAGAGTGTTTCCAAACTGCTCTATGAAAAGAAAGGTTAAACTCTGTGAGTTGAACGCACACATCACAAAGTAGTTGTTGAGAATGATTCTGTGTAGTTTTTATACGAAGATATTTCCTTTTCTGCCATAGGCCTAGAAGTGCTTGAAATCTGCACTTGCAAATTCCAAAAACAGAGTGTTTCATATCTGCTCTCTCTAAAGGAAGGTTCAAATCTGTGTGTTGAATACAAACAACACAGAGAAGTTACTGTGAATTCTTCTGTCTAGCATTATAAGAGGAAATCCCGTTTCCAAAGAAGGGCTCAAAGAGGGCCAAATATCCACCTGCAGACTTACAAAGAGTGTATTTCCAAACTGCTCGATTAAAGAAAGGTTAAACTCTGTGAGTTGAACACACACATCACAAAGAGTTTTCTGAGAATGATTTTGTCTACTTTTAATACGAAGATATCTCCTTTTCTATCACTGACTTCGAAGCGTTTGAAATCTACACTGGCAAATTCCACAAAAAGACTGTTTCACCTCTGCTCCCTCTAAAGAAAGGTTCAACTCTGTGAGTTGAATACACACAACACAAAGAAGTTACTGAGAATTCTTCTGTCTGGCGTTGTATGAAGAAATACCGTTTCCAACGAAGGCCTCAAAGAGGTCCAAATATCCACTTGCAGACTTTACAAATAGAGTGTTTCCCAACTGCTCTATGAAAAGAAAGGTTAAACTCTGTGAGTTGAAGGCACACATCACAAACTAGTTTCTACGAATGACTCTGTGTACTTTTAATATGAAGATATTTCCATGTCTAAGATTGGCGTCAAATCGCTTGAAATCTCCACTTGCAAATTCCACGAAAAGTGTTTTTCAAAACTGCTCTGAATAAAGGAAGGTTCCACTCTGTGAGTTGAATACACACAACACAAAGGATTTACTGAGAATTCTTCTGTCTAGCAGTAAATGAGAAATCCCGCTTCCAACGAAGGCCTCAAAGGGGTCTAACTAATCACTTGCAGACTTTACAGACAGAGTCTTTCCAAACTGCTCTATGAAGAGAAAGGTGAAACTCTGTGAACTGAACGCACAGATGACAAAGCAGTTTCTGAGAATGATTCTGTGTAGTTTTTACACGAAGATATTTCCATTTCAAAGTATTAGCCTCAAATCGCTTGAAATCTCCACTTGCAAATTCCACTGAAAGAGTTTTTCAAAACTGCTCTGTGTAAAGGAAGGTTCAACTCTGTGACTTGAATACACACAACACAAAGAAGTGACTGAGAATTCTTCTGTCTAGCATTATATGAAGAAATCCCGTTTCCAACGAAGGCCTCAAAGAAGTCCAAATAAGCACCTGCAGACTTTACAAACAGAGTGTTTCCAAACTGCTCTATGAAAAGAAAGGTTAAACTCTGTGAGTTGAACGCACACATCACAAAGTAGTTGTTGAGAATGATTCTGTGTAGTTTTTATACGAAGATATTTCCTTTTCTGCCATAGGCCTAGAAGCGCTTGCAATCTGCACTTGCAAATTCCAAAAACAGAGTGTTTCAAATCTGCTCTCTCCAAAGGAAGGTTCAAATCTGTGAGTTGAATACAAACAACACAAAGAAGTTACTGAGAATTCTTCTGTCTAGCATTATAAGAGGAAATCCCGTTTCCAACGAAGGGCTCATAGAGGGACAATTATCCAGCTGCAGACTTACAAAGAGTGTATTTCCAAACTGCTCGATTAAAGAAAGGTTAAACTCTGTGAGTTGAACACACACATCACAAAGTGTTTTCTGAGAATGATTTTGTCTAGTTTTAATACGAAGATATATCCTTTTCTATCACTGTCTTCGAAGCGTTTGAAATCTGCACTAGCAAATTCCACAAACAGAGGGTTTCAACTCTGCTCTCTCTCAAGAAAGGTTCAACTCTGTGAGTGGAATACACACAACACAAAGAAGTTACTGAGAATTCTTCTGTCTAGCGTTATATGAAGAAATCCCGTTTCCAACGAAGGCCTCAAAGAGGTCCAAATATCCACTTGCAGACTTTACAAATAGAGTGTTTCCAAACTGCTCTATGAAAAGAAAGGTTAAACTCTGTGAGTTGAAGGCACACATCACAAACTAGTTTCTGCGAATGACTCTGTGTACTTTTAATACGAAGATGTTTCCATGTCTAAGATTGGCGTGAATTCGCTTGAAATCTCCACTTGCAAATTCCACAAAAAGAGTGTTTCAAAACTGCTCTGAATAAAGGAAGGTTCCACTCTGTGAGTTGAATACACACAACACAAAGGATTTACTGAGAATTCTTCTGTCTAGCAGTAAATGAAAAAATCCCGCTTCCAACGAAGTCCTCAAAGGGGTCCAAGTAATCACTTGCAGACTTTACAGACAGAGTCTTTCCAAACTGCTCTATGAAAAGAAAGGTGGAACTCTGTGAGCTGAACGCACACATAACAAAGCAGTTTCTGAGAATGATTCTGTGTAGTTTTTACACGAAGATATTTCCATTTCAAAGATTAGCCTCAAATCGCTTGAAATCTCCACTTGCAAATTCCACAGAAAGAGTTTTTCAAAACTGCTCTGTGTAAAGGAAGGTTCAACTCTGTGACTTGAATACACACAACACAAAGAAGTGACTGAGAATTCTTCTGTCTAGCATTATATGAAGAAATCCCGTTTCCAACGAAGGCCTCAAAGAAGTCCAAATAAGCACCTGCAGACTTTACAAACAGAGTGTTTCCAAACTGCTCTATGAAAAGAAAGGTTAAACTCTGTGAGTTGAACGCACACATCACAAAGTAGTTGGTGAGAATGATTCTGTGTAGTTTTTATACGAAGATATTTCCTTTTCTGCCATAGGCCTAGAAGCGCTTGTAATCTGCACTTGCAAATTCCAAAACCACAGTGTTTCAAATCTGCTCTCTCTAAAGGAAGGTTCAAATCTGTGAGTTGAATACAAACAACACAAAGAAGTTACTGAGAATTCTTCTGTCTAGCATTATATGAGGAAATCCCGTTTCCAACGAAGGGCTCATAGAGGGACAATTATCCAGCTGCAGACTTACAAAGAGTGTATTTCCAAACTGCTCGATTAAAGAAAGGTTAAACTCTGTGAGTTGAACACACACATCACAAAGTGTTTTCTGAGAATGATTTTGTCTAGTTTTAATACGAAGATATATCCTTTTCTATCACTGTCTTTGAAGCGTTTGAAATCTGCACTAGCAAATTCCACAAACAGAGTGTTTCAACTCTGCTCTCTCTCAAGAAAGGTTCAACTCTGTGAGTGGAATACACACAACACAAAGAAGTTACTGAGAATTCTTCTGTCTAGCGTTATATGAAGAAATCCCGTTTCCAACGAAGGCCTCAAAGAGGTCCAAATATCCACTTGCAGACTTACAAATAGAGTGTTTCCAAACTGCTCTATGAAAAGAAAGGTTAAACTCCGTGAGTTGAAGGCACACATCACAAACTAGTTTCTGCGAATGACTCTGTGTACTTTTAATACGAAGATGTTTCCATGTCTAAGATGGGCGTGAATTCGCTTGAAATCTCCACTTGCAAATTCCACAAAAAGAGTGTTTCAAAACTGCTCTGAATAAAGGAAGGTTCCACTCTGTGAGTTGAATACACACAACACAAAGGATTTACTGAGAATTCTTCTGTCTAGCAGTAAATGAAAAAATCCCGCTTCCAACGAAGTCCTCAAAGGGGTCCAAGTAATCACTTGCAGACTTTACAGACAGAGTCTTTCCAAACTGCTCTATGAAAACAAAGGTGGAACTCTGTGAGCTGAACGCACACATAACAAAGCAGTTTCTGAGAATGATTCTGTGTAGTTTTTACACGAAGATATTTCCATTTCAAAGATTAGCCTCAAATCGCTTGAAATCTCCACTTGCAAATTCCACAGAAAGAGTTTTTCAAAACTGCTCTGTGTAAAGGAAGGTTCAACTCTGTGACTTGAATCCACACAACACAAAGAAGTGACTGAGAATTCTTCTGTCTAGCATTATATGAAGAAATCCCGTTTCCAACGAAGGCCTCAAAGAAGTCCAAATAAGCACCTGCAGACTTTACAAACAGAGTGTTTCCAAACTGCTCTATGAAAAGAAAGGTTAAACTCTGTGAGCTGAACGCACACATCACAAAGTAGTTGTTGAGAATGATTCTGTGTAGTTTTCATACGAAGATATTTCCTTTCCTGCCATAGGCCTAGAATCGCTTGAAATCTGCACTTGCAAATTCCAAAAACAGAGTGTTTCAACTCTGCTCTCTCTAAAGAAAGGTTCAACTCTGTGAGTTGAATACACACAACACAAAGAAGTTACTGAGAATTCTTCTGTCTAGTGTTGTATGAAGAAATCCCATTTCCAACGAAGGCCTCAAAGAGGTCCAAATATCCACTTGCAGACTTTACAAATAGAGTGTTTCCCAACTGCTCTATGAAAAGAAAGGTTAAACTCTGTGAGTTGAAGGCACACATCACAAACTAGTTTCTACGAATGACTCTGTGTACTTTTAATATGAAGATATTTCCATGTCTAAGATTGGCATCAAATCGCTTGAAATCTCCACTTGCAAATTCCACAAAAAGTGTTTTTCAAAACTGCTCTGAATAAAGGAAGGTTCCACTCTGTGAGTTGAATACACACAACACAAAGGATTTACTGAGAATTCTTCTGTCTAGCAGTAAATGAGAAATCCCGCTTCCAACGAAGGCCTCAAAGGGGTCTAACTAATCACTTGCAGACTTTACAGACAGAGTCTTTCCAAACTGCTCTATGAAGAGAAAGGTGAAACTCTGTGAACTGAACGCACAGATAACAAAGCAGTTTCTGAGAATGATTCTGTGTAGTTTTTACACGAAGATATTTCCATTTCAAAGATTAGCCTCAAATCTCTTAAAATCTCCAATTGCAAATTCCACAGAAAGTATTTTTCAAAAGTGCTCTGTCTAAAGGAAGGTTCAACTCTGTGACTTGAATACACAAAACACAAAGAAGTGACTGAGAATTCTTCTGTCTAGCATTATATGAAGAAATCCCGTTTCCAACGAAGGCCTCAATGAAGTCCAAAAAAGCACTTGCAGGCTTTACAAACAGAGTGTTTCCAAACTGCTCTATGAAAAGAAAGGTTAAACTCTGTGAAGTTGAACGCACACATCACAAAGTAGTTGTTGAGAATGATTCTGTGTAGTTTTTATACGAAGATATTTCCTTTTCTGCCATAGGCCTAGAATCGCTTGAAATCTGCACTTGCAAATTCCAAAAACAGAGTGTTTCAACTCTGCTCTCTCTAAAGAAAGGTTCAACTCTGTGAGTTGAATACACACAACACAAAGAAGTAACTGAGAATTCTTCTGTCTAGCGTTGTATGAAGAAATCCCGTTTCCAACGAAGGCCTCAATGAAGTCCAAAAAAGCACTTGCAGGCTTTACAAACAGAGTGTTTCCAAACTGCTCTATGAAAAGAAAGGTTAAACTCTGGGAGTTGAACGCACACATCACAAAGTAGTTGTTGAGAATGATTCTGTGTAGTTTTTATACGAAGATATTTCCTTTTCTGCCATAGGCCTAGAAGCGCTTGAAATCTGCACTTGCAAATTCCAAAAACAGAGTGTTTCAAATCTGCTCTCTCTAAAGGAAGGTTCAAATCTGTGAGTTGAATACAAACAACACAAAGAAGTTACTGAGAATTCTTCTGTCTAGCATTATAAGAGGAAATCCCGTTTCCAACGAAGGGCTCATAGAGGGACAATTATCCAGCTGCAGACTTACAAAGAGTGTATTTCCAAACTGCTCGATTAAAGAAAGGTTAAACTCTGTGAGTTGAACACACACATCACAAAGTGTTTTCTGAGAATGATTTTGTCTAGTTTTAATACGAAGATATATCCTTTTCTATCACTGTCTTCGAAGTGTTTGAAATCTGCACTAGCAAATTCCACAAAAAGAGTGTTTCAACTCTGCTCTCTCTCAAGAAAGGTTCAACTCTGTGAGTGGAATACACACAACACAAAGAAGTTACTGAGAATTCTTCTGTCTAGCGTTATATGAAGAAATCCCGTTTCCAACGAAGGCCTCAAAGAGGTCCAAATATCCACTTGCAGACTTTACAAATAGAGTGTTTCCAAACTGCTCTATGAAAAGAAAGGTTAAACTCCGTGAGTTGAAGGCACACATCACAAACTAGTTTCTGCGAATGACTCTGTGTACTTTTAATACGAAGATGTTTCCATGTCTAAGATTGGCGTGAATTCGTTTGAAATCTCCACTTGCAAATTCCACAAAAAGAGTGTTTCAAAACTGCTCTGAATAAAGGAAGGTTCCACTCTGTGAGTTGAATACACACAACACAAAGGATTTACTGAGAATTCTTCTGTCTAGCAGTAAATGAAAAAATCCCGCTTCCAACGAAGTCCTCAAAGGGGTCCAAGTAATCACTTGCAGACTTTACAGACAGAGTCTTTCCAAACTGCTCTATGAAAAGAAAGGTGGAACTCTGTGAGCTGAACGCACACATAACAAAGCAGTTTCTGAGAATGATTCTGTGTAGTTTTTACACGAAGATATTTCCATTTCAAAGATTAGCCTCAAGTCGCTTGAAATCTCCACTTGCAAATTCCACAGAAAGAGTTTTTCAAAACTGCTCTGTGTAAAGGAAGGTTCAACTCTGTGACTTGAATACACACAACACAAAGAAGTGACTGAGAATTCTTCTGTCTAGCATTATATGAAGAAATCCCGTTTCCAACGAAGGCCTCAAAGAAGTCCAAATAAGCACCTGCAGACTTTACAAACAGAGTGTTTCCAAACTGCTCTATGAAAAGAAAGGTTAAACTCTGTGAGTTGAACGCACACATCACAAAGTAGTTGTTGAGAATGATTCTGTGTAGTTTTTATACGAAGATATTTCCTTTTCTGCCATAGGCCTAGAAGCGCTTGTAATCTGCACTTGCAAATTCCAAAAACAGAGTGTTTCAAATCTGCTCTCTCTAAAGGAAGGTTCAAATCTGTGAGTTGAATACAAACAACACAAAGAAGTTACTGAGAATTCTTCTGTCTAGCATTATAAGAGGAAATCCCGTTTCCAACGTAGGGCTCCTAGAGGGACAATTATCCAGCTGCAGACTTACAAAGAGTGTATTTCCAAACTGCTCGATTAAAGAAAGGTTAAACTCTGTGAGTTGAACACACACATCACAAAGTGTTTTCTGAGAATGATTTTGTCTAGTTTTAATACGAAGATATATCCTTTTCTATCACTGTCTTCGAAGCGTTTGAAATCTGCACTAGCAAATTCCACAGAAAGAGTGTTTCAACTCTGCTCTCTCTCAAGAAAGGTTCAACTCTGTGAGTTGAATACACACAACACAAAGAAGTTACTGAGAATTCTTCTGTCTAGCGTTATATGAAGAAATCCCGTTTCCAACGAAGGCCTCAAAGAGGTCCAAATATCCACTTGCAGACTTTACAGATAGAGTGTTTCCAAACTGCTCTATGAAAAGAAAGGTTAAACTCCGTGAGTTGAAGGCACACATCACAAACTAGTTTCTGCGAATGACTCTGTGTACTTTTAATACGAAGATGTTTCCATGTCTAAGATTGGCGTGAATTCGCTTGAAATCTCCACTTGCAAATTCCACAAAAAGAGTGTTTCAAAACTGCTCTGAATAAAGGAAGGTTCCACTCTGTGAGTTGAATACACACAACACAAAGGATTTACTGAGAATTCTTCTGTCTAGCAGTAAATGAAAAAATCCCGCTTCCAACGAAGTCCTCAAAGGGGTCCAAGTAATCACTTGCAGACTTTACAGACAGAGTCTTTCCAAACTGCTCTATGAAAAGAAAGGTGGAACTCTGTGAGCTGAACGCACACATAACAAAGCAGTTTCTGAGAATGATTCTGTGTAGTTTTTACACGAAGCTATTCCCATTTCAAAGATTAGCCTCAAATCGCTTGAAATCTCCACTTGCAAATTCCACAGAAAGAGTTTTTCAAAACTGCTCTGTGTAAAGGAAGGTTCAACTCTGTGACTTGAATACACACAACACAAAGAAGTGACTGAGAATTCTTCTGTCTAGCATTATATGAAGAAATCCCGTTTCCAACGAAGGCCTCAAAGAAGTCCAAATAAGCACCTGCAGACTTTACAAACAGAGTGTTTCCAAACTGCTCTATGAAAAGAAAGGTTAAACTCTGTGAGTTGAACGCGCACATCACAAAGTAGTTGTTGAGAATGATTTTGTCTAGTTTTAATACGAAGATATATCCTTTTCTATCACTGTCTTCGAAGCGTTTGTAATCTGCACTAGCAAATTCCACAAAAAGAGTGTTTCAACTCTGCTCTCTCTCAAGAAAGGTTCAACTCTGTGAGTGGAATACACACAACACAAAGAAGTTACAGAGAATTCTTCTGTCTAGCGTTATATGAAGAAATCCCGTTTCCAACGAAGGCCTCAAAGAGGTCCAAATATCCACTTGCAGACTTTACAAATAGAGTGTTTCCAAACTGCTCTATGAAAAGAAAGGTTAAACTCCGTGAGTTGAAGGCACACATCTCAAACTAGTTTCTGCGAATGACTCTGTGTACTTTTAATACGAAGATGTTTCCATGTCTAAGATTGGCGTGAATTCGCTTGAAATCTCCACTTGCAAATTCCACAAAAAGAGTGTTTCAAAAGTGCTCTGAATAAAGGAAGGTTCCACTCTGTGAGTTGAATACACACAACACAAAGGATTTACTGAGAATTCTTCTGTCTAGCAGTAAATGAAAAAATCCCGCTTCCAACGAAGTCCTCAAAGGGGTCCAAGTAATCACTTGCAGACTTCACAGACAGAGTCTTTCCAAACTGCCCTATGAAAAGAAAGGTGGAACCGTGTGAGCTGAACGCACACATAACAAAGCAGTTTCTGAGAATGATTCTGTGTAGTTTTTACACGAAGATATTTCCATTTCAAAGATTAGCCTCAAATCGCTTGAAATCTCCACTTGCAAATTCCACAGAAAGAGTTTTTCAAAACTGCTCTGTGTAAAGGAAGGTTCAACTCTGTGACTTGAATACACACAACACAAAGACGTGACTGAGAATTCTTCTGTCTAGCATTATATGAAGAAATCCCGTTTCCAACGAAGGCCTCAAAGAAGTCCAAATAAGCACCTGCAGACTTTACAAACAGAGTGTTTCCAAACTGCTCTATGAAAAGAAAAGTTAAACTCTGTGAGTTGAACGCACACATCACAAAGTAGTTGTTGAGAATGATTCTGTGTAGTTTTTATACGAAGATATTTCCTTTTCTGCCATAGGCCTAGAAGCGCTTGCAATCTGCACTTGCAAATTCCAAAAACAGAGTCTTTCAAATCTGCTCTCTCTAAAGGAAGGTTCAAATCTGTGAGTTGAATACAAACAACACAAAGAAGTTACTGAGAATTCTTCTGTCTAGCATTATAAGAGGAAATCCCGTTTCCAACGAAGGGCTCATAGAGGGACAATTATCCAGCTGCAGACTTACAAAGAGTGTATTTCCAAACTGCTCGATTAAAGAAAGGTTAAACTCTGTGAGTTGAACACACACATCACAAAGTGTTTTCTGAGAATGATTTTGTCTAGTTTTAATACGAAGATATATCCTTTTCTATCACTGTCTTCGAAGCGTTTGAAATCTGCACTAGCAAATTCCACAGAAAGAGTGTTTCAACTCTGCTCTCTCTCAAGAAAGGTTCAACTCTGTGAGTGGAATACACACAACACAAAGAAGTTACTGAGAATTCTTCTGTCTAGCGTTATATGAAGAAATCCCGTTTCCAACGAAGGCCTCAAAGAGGTCCAAATATCCACTTGCAGACTTTACAAATAGAGTGTTTCCAAACTGCTCTATGAAAAGAAAGGTTAAACTCTGTGAGTTGAAGGCACACATCACAAACTAGTTTCTGCGAATGACTCTGTGTACTTTTAATACGAAGATGTTTCCATGTCTAAGATTGGCGTGAATTCGCTTGAAATCTCCACTTGCAAATTCCACAAAAAGAGTGTTTCAAAACTGCTCTGAATAAAGGAAGGTTCCACTCTGTGAGTTGAATACACACAACACAAAGGATTTACTGAGAATTCTTCTGTCTAGCAGTAAATGAAAAAATCCCGCTTCCAACGAAGTCCTCAAAGAGGTCCAAGTAATCACTTGCAGACTTTACAGACAGAGTCTTTCCAAACTGCTCTATGAAAAGAAAGGTGGAACTCTGTGAGCTGAACGCACACATAACAAAGCAGTTTCTGAGAATGATTCTGTGTAGTTTTTACACGAAGATATTTCCATTTCAAAGATTAGCCTCAAATCGCTTGAAATCTCCACTTGCAAATTCCACAGAAAGAGTTTTTCAAAACTGCTCTGTGTAAAGGAAGGTTCAACTCTGTGACTTGAATACACACAACACAAAGAAGTGACTGAGAATTCTTCTGTCTAGCATTATATGAAGAAATCCCGTTTCCAACGAAGGCCTCAAAGAAGTCCAAATAAGCACCTGCAGACTTTACAAACAGAGTGTTTCCAAACTGCTCTATGAAAAGAAAGGTTAAACTCTGTGAGTTGAACGCACACATCACAAAGTAGTTGTTGAGAATGATTCTGTGTAGTTTTTATACGAAGATATTTCCTTTTCTGCCATAGGCATAGAAGTGCTTGAAATCTGCACTTGCAAATTCCAAAAACAGAGTGTTTCAAATCTGCTCTCTCTAAAGGAAGGTTCAAATCTGTGTGTTGAATACAAGCAACACAGAGAAGTTACTGAGAATTCTTCTGTCTAGCATTATAAGAGGAAATCCCGTTTCCAAAGAAGGGCTCAAAGAGGGCCAAATATCCACCTGCAGACTTACAAAGAGTGTATTTCCAAACTGCTCGATTAAAGAAAGGTTAAACTCTGTGAGTTGAACACACACATCACAAAGAGTTTTCTGAGAATGATTTTGTCTACTTTTAATACGAAGATATATCCTTTTCTATCACTGACTTCGAAGCGTTTGAAATCTACACTAGCAAATTCCACAAAAAGACTGTTTCACCTCTGCTCCCTCTAAAGAAAGGTTCAACTCTGTGAGTTGAATACACACAACACAAAGAAGTTACTGAGAATTCTTCTGTCTAGCGTTATATGAAGAAATCCCGTTTCCAACGAAGGCCTCAAAGAGGTCCAAATATCCACTTGCAGACTTTACAAATAGAGTGTTTCCCAACTGCTCTATGAAAAGAAAGGTTAAACTCTGTGAGTTGAAGGCACACATCACAAACTAGTTTCTACGAATGACTCTGTGTACTTTTAATATGAAGATATTTCCATGTCTAAGATTGGCGTCAAATCGCTTGAAATCTCCACTTGCAAATTCCACAAAAAGAGTGTTTGAAAACTGCTCTGAATAAAGGAAGGTTCCACTCTGTGAGTTGAATACACACAACACAAAGGATTTACTGAGAATTCTTCTGTCTAGCAGTAAATGAGAAATCCCGCTTCCAACGAAGGCCTCAAAGGGGTCTAACTAATCACTTGCAGACTTTACAGACAGAGTCTTTCCAAACTGCTGTATGAAGAGAAAGGTGAAACTCTGTGAACTGAACGCACAGATGACAAAGCAGTTTCTGAGAATGATTCTGTGTAGTTTTTACACGAAGATATTTCCATTTCAAAGATTAGCCTCAAATCGCTTGAAATCTCCACTTGCAAATTCCACAGAAAGAATTTTTCAAAACTGCTCTGTCTAAAGGAAGGTTCAACTCTGTGACTTGAATACACACAACACAAAGAAGTGACTGAGAATTCTTCTGTCTAGCATTATATGAAGAAATCCCGTTTCCAACGAAGGCCTCAATGAAGTCCAAAGAAGCACTTGCAGGCTTTACAAACAGAGTGTTTCCAAACTGCTCTATGAAAAGAAAGGTTAAACTCTGTGAGTTGAACGCACACATCACAAAGTAGTTGTTGAGAATGATTCTGTGTAGTTTTTATACGAAGATATTTCCTTTTCTGCCATAGGCCTAGAATCGCTTGAAATCTGCACTTGCAAATTCCAAAAACAGAGTGTTTCAACTCTGCTCTCTCTAAAGAAAGGTTCAACTCTGTGAGTTGAATACACACAACACAAAGAAGTTACTGAGAATTCTTCTGTCTAGCGTTGTATGAAGAAATCCCGTTTCCAACGAAGGCCTCAAAGAGGTCCAAATATCCACTTGCAGACTTTACAAATAGAGTGTTTCCAAACTGCTCTATGAAAAGAAAGGTTAAACTCTGTGAGTTGAAGGCACACATCACAAACTAGTTTCTACGAATGACTCTGTGTACTTTTAATATGAAGATATTTCCATGTCTAAGATTGCCGTCAAATCGGTTGAAATCTCCATTTGCAAATTCCACAAAAAGTGTTTTTCAAAACTGCTCTGAATAAAGGAAGGTTCCACTCTGTGAGTTGAATACACACAACACAAAGGATTTACTGAGAATTCTTCTGTCTAGCAGTAAATGAGAAATCCCGCTTCCAACGAAGGCCTCAAAGGGGTCTAACTAATCACTTGCAGACTTTACAGACAGAGTCTTTCCAAACTGCTCTATGAAGAGAAAGGTGAAACTCTGTGAACTGAACGCACAGATGACAAAGCAGTTTCTGAGAATGCTTCTGTGTAGTTTTTACACGAAGATATTTCCATTTCAAAGATTAGCCTCAAATCGCTTGAAATCTCCACTTGCAAACTCCACAGAAAGAATTTTTCAAAACTGCTCTGTCTAAAGGAAGGTTCAACCCTGTGACTTGAATACACACAACACAAAGAAGTGACTGAGAATTCCTCTGTCTAGCATTATATGAAGAAATCCCGTTTCCAACGAAGGCCTCAATGAAGTCCAAAAAAGCACTTGCAGGCTTTACAAACAGAGTGTTTCATAACTGCTCTATGAAAAGAAAGGTTAAACTCTGTGAGTTGAACGCACACATCACAAAGTAGTTGTTGAGAATGATTCTGTGTAGTTTTTATACGAAGATATTTCCTTTTCTGCCATAGGCCTAGAAGCGCTTGAAATCTGCACTTGCAAATTCCAAAAACAGAGTGTTTCAACTCTGCTCTCTCTAAAGAAAGGTTCAACTCTGTGAGTTGAATACACACAACACAAAGAAGTTACTGAGAATTCTTCTGTCTAGCGTTGTATGAAGAAATCCCGTTTCCAACGAAGGCCTCAAAGAGGTCCAAATATCCACTTGCAGACTTTACAAATAGAGTGTTTCCAAACTGCTCTATGAAAAGAAAGGTTAAACTCTGTGAGTTGAAGGCACACATCACAAACTAGTTTTTACGAATGACTCTGTGTACTTTTAATATGAAGATATTTCCATGTCTAAGATTGGCGTCAAATCGCTTGAAATCTCCACTTGCAAATTCCACAAAAAGTGTTTTTCAAAACTGCTCTGAATAAAGGAAGGTTCCACTCTGTGAGTTGAATACACACAACACAAAGGATTTACTGAGAATTCTTCTGTCTAGCAGTAAATGAGAAATCCCGCTTCCAACGAAGGCCTCAAAGGGGTCTAACTAATCACTTGCAGACTTTAAAGACAGAGTCTTTCCAAACTGCTCTATGAAGAGAAAGGTGAAACTCTGTGAACTGAACGCACAGATGACAAAGCAGTTTCTGAGAATGCTTCTGTGTAGTTTTTACACGAAGATATTTCCATTTCAAAGATTAGCCTCAAATCGCTTGAAATCTCCACTTGCAAACTCCACAGAAAGAATTTTTCAAAACTGCTCTGTCTAAAGGAAGGTTCAACTTGGTGACTTGAATACACACAACACAAAGAAGTGACTGAGAATTCTTCTGTCTAGCATTATATGAAGAAATCCCGTTTCCAACGAAGGCCTCAATGAAGTCCAAAAAAGCACTTGCAGGCTTTACAAACAGAGTGTTTCCAAACTGCTCTATGAAAAGAAAGGTTAAACTCTGTGAGTTGAACGCACACATCACAAAGTAGTTGTTGAGAATGATTCTGTGTAGTTTTTATACGAAGATATTTCCTTTTCTGCCATAGGCCTAGAAGCGCTTGAAATCTGCACTTGCAAATTCCAAAAACAGAGTGTTTCAAATGTGCTCTCTCTAAAGGAAGGTTCAAATCTGTGAGTTGAATACAAACAACACAAAGAAGTTACTGAGAATTCTTCTGTCTAGCATTATATGAGGAAATCCCGTTTCCAACGAAGGGCTCAAAGAGGGCCAATTATCCACCTGCAGACTTACAAAGAGTGTATTTCCAAACTGCTCGATTAAAGAAAGGTTAAACTCTGTGAGTTGAACACACACATCACAAAGTGTTTTCTGAGAATGATTTTGTCAAGTTTTAATACGAAGATATATCCTTTGCTATCACTGTCTTCGAAGCGTTTGAAATCTGCACTAGCAAATTCCACAAAAAGAGTGTTTCAACTCTGCTCTCTCTAAAGAAAGGTTCAACTCTGTGAGTTGAATATACACAACACAAAGAAGTTACTGAAAATTCTTCTGTCTAGCGTTATATGAAGAAATCCCGTTTCCAATGAAGGCCTCAAAGAGGTCCAAATATCCACTTGCAGACTTTACAAATAGAGTGTTTCCGAACTGCTCTATGAAAAGAAAGGTTAAACTCTGTGAGTTGAAGGCACACATCACAATCTAGTTTCTACGAATGACTCTGTGTACTTTTAATATGAAGATATTTCCATGTCTAAGATTGGAGTCAAATCGCTTGAAATCTCCACTTGCAAATTCCACAAAAAGAGTGTTTCAAAACTGCTCTGAATAAAGGAAGGTTCCACTCTGTGAGTTGAATAAACACAACCCAAAGATTTACTGAGAATTCTTCTGTCTAGCATTATATGAAGAAATCCCGTTTCCAACGAAGGCCTCAATGAAGTCCAAAAAAGCACTTGCAGGCTTTACAAACAGAGTGTTTCCAAACTTCTCTATGAAAAGAAAGGTTAAACTTTGTGAGTTGAACGCACACATCACAGAGTAGTTGTTGAGAATGATTCTGTGTAGTTTTTATACGAAGATATTTCCTTTTCTGCCATAGGCCTAGAATCGCTTGAAATCTGCACTTGCAAATTCCAAAAACAGAGTGTTTCAACTCTGCTCTCTCTAAAGAAAGGTTCAACTCTGTGAGTTGAATACACACAACACAAAGAAGTTACTGAGAATTCTTCTGTCTAGCGTTGTATGAAGAAATCCTGTTTCCAACGAAGGCCTCAAAGAGGTCCAAATATCCACTTGCAGACTTTACAAATAGAGTGTTTCCAAACTGCTCTATGAAAAGAAAGGTTAAACTCTGTGAGTTGAAGGCACACATCACAAACTAGTTTCTACGAATGACTCTGTGTACTTTTAATACGAAGATGTTTCCATGTCTAAGATTGGCGTGAATTCGCTTGAAATCTCCACTTGCAAATTCCACAAAAAGAGTGTTTCAAAACTGCTCTGAATAAAGGAAGGTTCCACTCTGTGAGTTGAATACACACAACACAAAGGATTTACTTGAGAATTCTTCTGTCTAGCAGTAAATGAAAAAATCCCGCTTCCAACGAAGTCCTCAAAGGGGTCCAAGTAATCACTTGCAGACTTTACAGACAGAGTCTTTCCAAACTGCTCTATGAAAAGAAAGGTGGAACTCTGTGAGCTGAACGCACACATAACAAAGCAGTTTCTGACAATGATTCTGTGTAGATTTTACACGAAGATATTTCCATTTCAAAGATTAGCCTCAAATCGCTTGAAATCTCCACTTGCAAATTCCACAGGAAGAGTTTTTCAAAACTGCTCTGTGTAAAGGAAGGTTCAACTCTGTGACTTGAATACACACAACACAAAGAAGTGACTGAGAATTCCTCTGTCTAGCATTATATGAAGAAATCCCGTTTCCAACGAAGGCCTCAATGAAGTCCAAAAAAGCACTTGCAGGCTTTACAAACAGAGTGTTTCCAAACTGCTCTATGAAAAGAAACGTTAAACTCTGTGAGTTGAACGCACACATCACAAAGTAGTTGTTGAGAATGATTCTGTGTAGTTTTTACACGAAGATATTTCCTTTTCTGCCATAGGCCTAGAAGCGCTTGTAATCTGCACTTACAATTTCCAAAAACAGAGTGTTTCAAATCTCCTCTCTCTAAAGGAAAGTTCAAATCTGTGAGTTGAATACAAACAACACAAAGAAGTTACTGAGAATTCTTCTGTCTAGCATTATATGAGGAAATCCCGTTTCCAACGAAGGGCTCATAGAGGGACAATTATCCACCTGCAGACTTACAAAGAGTGCATTTCCAAACTGCTCGATTAAAGAAAGGTTAAACTCTGTGAGTTGAACACACACATCACAAAGTGTTTTCTGAGAATGATTTTGTCTAGTTTTAATACGAAGATATATCCTTTTCTGTCACTGTCTTCGAAGCGTTTGAAATCTGCACTAGCAAATTCCACAGAAAGAGTGTTTCAACTCTGCTCTCTCTCAAGAAAGGTTCAACTCTGTGAGTGGAATACACACAACACAAAGAAGTTACAGAGAATTCTTCTGTCTAGCGTTATATGAAGAAATCCCGTTTCCAACGAAGGCCTCAAAGAGGTCCAAATATCCACTTGCAGACTTTACAAATAGAGTGTTTCCAAACTGCTCTATGAAAAGAAAGCTTAAACTCTGTGAGTTGAAGGCACACATCACAAACTAGTTTCTGCGAACGACTCTGTGCAGTTTTTATACGAAGATATTTCCTTTTCTGCCATAGGCCTAGAAGCGCTTGAAATCTGCACTTGCAAATTCCAAAAACAGAGTGTTTCAAATCTGCTCTCTCTAAAGGAAGGTTCAAATCTGTGAGTTGAATACAAACAACACAAAGAAGTTACTGAGAATTCTTCTGTCTAGCATTATATGAGGAAATCCCGTTTCCAACGAAGGGCTCAAAGAGGGACAATTATCCACCTGCAGACTTACAAAGAGTGTATTTCCAAACTGCTCGATTAAAGAAAGGTTAAACTCTGTGAGTTGAACACACACATCACAAAGAGTTTTCTGAGAATGATTTTGTCTAGTTTTAATACGAAGATATATCCTTTTCTATCATTGTCTTCGAAGCGTTTGAAATCTGCACCAGCAAATTCCACAAAAAGAGTCTGTCAAATCTGCTCTCTCTAAAGAAAGGTTTAACTCTGTGAGTTGAATACACACAACACAAAGAATTTACTGAGAATTCTTCTTTCTAGCGTTATATGAAGAAATCCCGTTTCCAACGAAGGCCTCAAAGAGGTCCAAATATCCACTTGCAGACTTTACAAATAGAGTGTTTCCGAACTGCTGTATGAAAAGAAAGGTTAAACTCTGTGAGTTGAAGGCACACATCACAACCTAGTTTCTACGAATGACTCTGTGTACTTTTAATATGAAGATATTTCCATGTCTAAGATTGGCGTCAAATCGCTTGAAATCTCCACTTGCAAATTCCACAAAAAGAGTTTTTCAAAACTGCTCTGAATAAAGGAAGGTTTCACTCTGTGAGTTGAATACACACAACACAAAGGATTTACTGAGAATTCTTCTGTCTAGCATTATATGAAGAAATCCCCTTTCCAACGAAGGCCTCAATGAAGTCCAAAAAAGCAATTGCAGGCTTTACAAACAGAGTGTTTCCAAACTGCTCTATGAAAAGAAAGGTTAAACTTTGTGAGTTGAACGCACACATCACAAAGTAGTTGTTGAGAATGATTTTGTCTAGTTTTAATACGAAGATATATCCTTTGCTATCACTGTCTTCGAAGCGTTTGAAATCTGCACTAGCAAATTCCACAAGAAGAGTGTTTCAACTCTGCTCTCTCTAAAGAAAGGTTCAACTCGGTGAGTTGAATACACACAACACAAAGAAGTTACTGAGAATTCTTCTGTCTAGCGTTATATGAAGAAATCCCGTTTCCAACGAAGGCCTCAAAGAGGTCCAAATATCCACTTGCAGACTTTACAAATAGAGTGTTTCCAAACTGCTCTATGAAAAGAAAGGTTAAACTCTGTGAGTTGAAGGCACACATCACAAACTAGTTTCTACGAATGACTCTGTGTACTTTTAATATGAAGATATTTCCATGTCTAAGATTGGCGTCAAATCGCTTGAAATCTCCACTTGCAAATTCCACAAAAAGTGTTTTTCAAAACTGCTCTGAATAAAGGAAGGTTCCACTCTGTGAGTTGAATACACACAACACAAAGGATTTACTGAGAATTCTTCTGTCTAGCAGTAAATGAGAAATCCCGCTTCCAACGAAGGCCTCAAAGGGGTCTAACTAATCACTTGCAGACTTTACAGACAGAGTCTTTCCAAACTGCTCTATGAAGAGAAAGGTGAAACTCTGTGAACTGAACGCACAGATGACAAAGCAGTTTCTGAGAATGATTCTGTGTAGTTTTTACACGAAGATATTTCCATTTCAAAGATTAGCCTCAAATCGATTGAAATCTCCACTTGCAAACTCCACAGAAAGAATTTTTCAAAACTGCTCTGTCTAAAGGAAGGTTCAACTCTGTGACTTGAATACACACAACACAAAGAAGTGACTGAGAATTCTTCTGTCTAGCATTATATGAAGAAATCCCGTTTCCAACGAAGGCCTCAATGAAGTCCAAAAAAGCACTTGCAGGCTTTACAAACAGAGTGTTTCCAAACTGCTCTATGAAAAGAAAGGTTAAACTCTGTGAGTTGAACGCACACATCACAAAGTAGTTGTTGAGAATGATTTTGTCTAGTTTTAATACGAAGATATATCCTTTTCTATCACTGTCTTCGAAGCGTTTGAAATCTGCACTAGCAAACTCCACAGAAAGAGTGTTTCAACTCTGCTCTCTCTCAAGAAAGGTTCAATTCTGTGAGTGGAATACACACAACACAAAGAAGTTACTGAGAATTCTTCTGTCTAGCGTTATATGAAGAAATCCCGTTTCCAACGAAGGCCTCAAAGAGGTCCAAATATCCACTTGCAGACTTTACAAATAGAGTGTTTCCAAACTGCTCTATGAAAAGAAAGGTTAAACTCCGTGAGTTGAAGGCACACATCACAAACTAGTTTCTGCGAATGACTCTGTGTACTTTTAATACGAAGATGTTTCCATGTCTAAGATTGGCGTGAATTCGCTTGAAATCTCCACTTGCAAATTCCACAAAAAGAGTGTTTCAAAACTGCTCTGAATAAAGGAAGGTTCCACTCTGTGAGTTGAATACACACAACACAAAGGATTTACTGAGAATTCTTCTGTCTAGCAGTAAATGAAAAAATCCCGCTTCCAACGAAGTCCTCAAAGGGGTCCAAGTAATCACTTGCAGACTTTACAGACAGAGTCTTTCCAAACTGCTCTAAGAAAAGAAAGGTGGAACTCTGTGAGCTGAACGCACACATAACAAAGCAGTTTCTGAGAATGATTCTGTGTAGTTTTTACACGAAGCTATTTCCATTTCAAAGATTAGCCTCAAATCGCTTGAAATCTCCACTTGCAAATTCCACAGAAAGAGTTTTTCAAAACTGCTCTGTGTAAAGGAAGGTTCAACTCTGTGACTTGAATACACACAACACAAAGAAGTGACTGAGAATTCTTCTGTCTAGCATTATATGAAGAAATCCCGTATCCAACGAAGGCCTCAAAGAAGTCCAAATAAGCACCTGCAGACTTTACAAACAGAGTGTTTCCAAACTGCTCTATGAAAAGAAAAGTTAAACTCTGTGAGTTGAACGCACACATCACAAACTAGTTTCTGCGAATGACTCTGTGTACTTTTAATACGAAGATGTTTCCATGTCTAAGATTGGCGTGAATTCGCTTGAAATCTCCACTTGCAAATTCCACAAAAAGAGTGTTTCAAAACTGCTCTGAATAAAGGAAGGTTCCACTCTGTGAGTTGAATACACACAACACAAAGGATTTACTGAGAATTCTTCTGTCTAGCAGTAAATGAAAAAATCCCGCTTCCAACGAAGTCCTCAAAGGGGTCCAAGTAATCACTTGCAGACTTTACAGAGTCTTTCCAAACTGCTCTATGAAAAGAAAGGTGGAACTCTGTGAGCTGAACGCACACATAACAAAGCAGTTTCTGAGAATGATTCTGTGTAGTTTTTACACGAAGATATTTCCATTTCAAAGATTAGCCTCAAATCGCTTGAAATCTCCACTTGCAAATTCCACAGAAAGAGTTTTTCAAAACTGCTCTGTGTAAAGGAAGGTTCAACTCTGTGACTTGAATACACACAACACAAAGAAGTGACTGAGAATTCTTCTGTCTAGCAGTATATGAAGAAATCACGTTTCCAACGAAGGCCTCAAAGAAGTCCAAATAAGCACCTGCAGACATTACAAACAGACTGTTTCCAAACTGCTCTATGAAAAGAAAGGTTAAACTCTGTGAGTTGAACGCGCACTTCACAAAGTAGTTGTTGAGAATGATTCTGTGTAGTTTTTATACGAAGATATTTCCTTTTCTGCCATAGGCCTAGAAGCGCTTGAAATCTGCACTTGCAAATTCCAAGAACAGAGTGTTTCAAATCTGCTCTCTCTAAAGGAAGGTTCAAATCTGTGAGTTGAATACAAACAACAGAAAGAAGTTAATGAGAATTCTTCTGTCTAGCATTATAAGAGGAAATCCCGTTTCCAACGAAGGGCTCATAGAGGGACAATTATCCAGCTGCAGACTTACAAAGAGTGTATTTCCAAACTGCTCGATTAAAGAAAGGTTAAACTCTGTGAGTTGAACACACACATCACAAAGTGTTTTCTGAGAATGATTTTGTCTAGTTTTAATACGAAGATATATCCTTTTCTATCACTGTCTTCGAAGCGTTTGAAATCTGCACTAGCAAATTCCACAAACAGAGTGTTTCCACTCTGCTCTCTCTCAAGAAAGGTTCAACTCTGTGAGTGGAATACACACAACACAAAGAAGTTACAGAGAATTCTTCTGTCTAGCGTTACATGAAGAAATCCCGTTTCCAACGAAGGCCTCAAAGAGGTCCAAATATCCACTTGCAGACTTTACAAATAGAGTGTTTCCAAAATGCTCTATGAAAAGAAAGGTTAAACTCTGTGAGTTGAAGGCACACATCACAAACTAGTTTCTGCGAATGACTCTGTGTACTTTTAATACGAAGATGTTTCCATGTCTAAGATTGGCGTGAATTCGCTTGAAATCTCCACTTGCAAATTCCACAAAAAGAGTGTTTCAAAACTGCTCTGAATAAAGGAAGGTTCCACTCTGTGAGTTGAATACACACAACACGAAGGATTTACTGAGAATTCTTCTGTCTAGCAGTAAATGAAAAAATCCCGCTTCCAACGAAGTCCTCAAAGGGGTCCAAGTAATCACTTGCAGACTTTACAGACAGAGTCTTTCCAAACTGCTCTATGAAAAGAAAGGTGGAACTCTGTGAGCTGAACGCACACATAACAAAGCAGTTTCTGAGAATGATTCTGTGTAGTTTTTACACGAAGATATTTCCATTTCAAAGATTAGCCTCAAATCGCTTGAAATCTCCACTTGCAAATTCCACAGAAAGAGTTTTTCAAAACTGCTCTGTGTAAAGGAAGGTTCAACTCTGTGACTTGAATACACACAACACAAAGAAGTGACTGAGAATTCTTCTGTCTAGCATTATATGAAGAAATCCCGTTTCCAACGAAGGCCTCAAAGAAGTCCAAATAAGCACCTGCAGACTTTACAAACAGAGTGTTTCCAAACTGCTCTATGAAAAGAAAGGTTAAACTCTGTGAGTTGAATGCACACATCACAAAGTAGTTGTAGAGAATGATTTTGTCTAGTTTTAATACGAAGATATATCCTTTTCTATCACTGTCTTCGAAGCGTTTGATCTGCACTAGCAAATTCCACAAACAGAGTGTTTCAACTCTGCTCTCTCTCAAGAAAGGTTCAACTCTGTGAGTTGAATACACACAACACAAAGAAGTTACTGAGAATTCTTCTGTCTAGCGTTATATGAAGAAATCCCGTTTCCAACGAAGGCCTCAAAGAGGTCCAAATATCCACTTGCAGACTTTACAAATAGAGTGTTTCCAAACTGCTCTATGAAAAGAAAGGTTAAACTCCGTGAGTTGAAGGCACACATCACAAACTAGTTTCTGCGAATGACTCTGTGTACTTTTAATACGAAGATGTTTCCATGTCTAAGATTGGCGTGAATTCGCTTGAAATCTCCACTTGCAAATTCCACAAAAAGAGTGTTTCAAAAGTGCTCTGAATAAAGGAAGGTTCCACTCTGTGAGTTGAATACACACAACACAAAGGATTTACTGAGAATTCTTCTGTCTAGCAGTAAATGAAAAAATCCCGCTTCCAACGAAGTCCTCAAAGGGGTCCAAGTAATCACTTGCAGACTTTACAGACAGAGTCTTTCCAAACTGCTCTATGAAAAGAAAGGTGGAACTCTGTGAGCTGAACGCACACATAACAAAGCAGTTTCTGAGAATGATTCTGTGTAGTTTTTACACGAAGCTATTTCCATTTCAAAGATTAGCCTCAAATCGCTTGAAATCTCCACTTGCAAATTCCACAGAAAGAGTTTTTCAAAACTGCTCTGTGTAAAGGAAGGTTCAACTCTGTGACTTGAATACACACAACACAAAGAAGTGACTGAGAATTCTCTGTTTAGCATTATATGAAGAAATCCCGTTTCCAACGAAGGCCTCAAAGAAGTCCAAATAAGCACCTGCAGACTTTACAAACAGAGTGTTTCCAAACTGCTCTATGAAAAGAAAGGTTAAACTCTGTGAGTTGAACGCACACATCACAAAGTAGTTGTTGAGAATGATTTCTGTGTAGTTTTTATACGAAGATATTTCCTTTTCTGCCATAGGCCTAGAAGCGCTTGTAATCTGCACTTGCAAATTCCAAAAACAGAGTGTTTCAAATCTGCTCTCTCTAAAGGAAGGTTCAAATCTGTGAGTTGAATACAAACAACACAAAGAAGTTACTGAGAATTCTTCTGTCTAGCATTATAAGAGGAAATCCTGTTTCCAACGAAGGGCTCATAGAGGGACAATTATCCAGCTGCAGACTTACAAAGAGTGTATTTCCAAACTGCTCGATTAAAGAAAGGTTAAACTCTGTGAGTTGAACACACACATCACAAAGTGTTTTCTGAGAATGATTTTGTCTAGTTTTAATACGAAGATATATCCTTTTCTATCACTGTCTTCGAAGCGTTTGAAATCTGCACTAGCAAATTCCACAGAAAGAGTGTTTCAACTCTGCTCTCTCTCAAGAAAGGTTCAACTCTGTGAGTGGAATACACACAACACAAAGAAGTTACTGAGAATTCTTCTGTCTAGCGTTATATGAAGAAATCCCGTTTCCAACGAAGGCCTCAAAGAGGTCCAAATATCCACTTGCAGACTTTACAGATAGAGTGTTTCCAAACTGCTCTATGAAAAGAAAGGTTAAACTCCGTGAGTTGAAGGCACACATCACAAACTAGTTTCTGCGAATGACTCTGTGTACTTTTAATACGAAGATGTTTCCATGTCTAAGATTGGCGTGAATTCGCTTGAAATCTCCACCTGCAAATTCCACAAAAAGAATGTTTCAAAACAGCTCTGAATAGAGGAAGGTTCCACTCTGTGAGTTGAATACACACAACACAAAGGATTTACTGAGAATTCTTCTGTCTAGCAGTAAATGAAAAAATCCCGCTTCCAACGAAGTCCTCAAAGGGGTCCAAGTAATCACTTGCAGACTTTACAGACAGAGTCTTTCCAAACTGCTCTATGAAAAGAAAGGTGGAACTCTGTGAGCTGAACGCACACATAACAAAGCAGTTTCTGAGAATGATTCTGTGTGGTTTTTACACGAAGCTATTTCCATTTCAAAGATTAGCCTCAAATCGATTGAAATCTCCACTTGCAAATTCCACAGAAAGAGTTTTTCAAAACTGCTCTGTGTAAAGGAAGGTTCAACTCTGTGACTTGAATACACACAACACAAAGAAGTGACTGAGAATTCTTCTGTCTAGCATTACATGAAGAAATCCCGTTTCCAACGAAGGCCTCAAAGAAGTCCAAATAAGCACCTGCAGACTTTACAAACAGAGTGTTTCCAAACTGCTCTATGAAAAGAAAGGTTAAACTCTGTGAGTTGAACGCACACATCACAAAGTAGTTGTTGAGAATGATTCTGTGTAGTTTTTATACGAAGATATTTCCTTTTCTGCCATAGGCCTAGAAGCGCTTGTAATCTGCACTTGCAAATTCCAAAAACAGAGTGTTTCAAATCTGCTCTCTCTAAAGGAAGGTTCAAATCTGTGAGTTGAATACAAACAACACAAAGAAGTTACTGAGAATTCTTCTGTCTAGCATTATAAGAGGAAATCCCGTTTCCAACGAAGGGCTCATAGAGGGACAATTATCCAGCTGCAGACTTACAAAGAGTGTATTTCCAAACTGCTCGATTAAAGAAAGGTTAAACTCTGTGAGTTGAACACACACATCACAAAGTGTTTTCTGAGAATGATTTTGTCTAGTTTTAATACGAAGATATATCCTTTTCTATCACTGTCTTCGAAGCGTTTGAAATCTGCACTAGCAAATTCCACAGAAAGAGTGTTTCAACTCGGCTCTCTCTCAAGAAAGGTTCAACTCTGTGAGTTGAATACACACAACACAAAGAAGTTACTGAGAATTCTTCTGTCTAGCGTTATATGAAGAAATCCCGTTTCCAACGAAGGCCTCAAAGAGGTCCAAATATCCACTTGCAGACTTTACAAATAGAGTGTTTCCAAACTGCTCTATGAAAAGAAAGGTTAAACTCCGTGAGTTGAAGGCACACATCACAAACTAGTTTCTGCGAATGACTCTGTGTACTTTTAATACGAAGATGTTTCCATGTCTAAGATTGGCGTGAATTCGCTTGAAATCTCCACTTGCAAATTCCACAAAAAGAGTGTTTCAAAAGTGCTCTGAATAAAGGAAGGTTCCACTCTGTGAGTTGAATACACACAACACAAAGGATTTACTGAGAATTCTTCTGTCTAGCAGTAAATGAAAAAATCCCGCTTCCAACGAAGTCCTCAAAGGGGTCCAAGTAATCACTTGCAGACTTTACAGACAGAGTCTTTCCAAACTGCTCTATGAAAAGAAAGGTGGAACTCTGTGAGCTGAACGCACACATAACAAAGCAGTTTCTGAGAATGATTCTGTGTAGTTTTTACACGAAGCTATTTCCATTTCAAAGATTAGCCTCAAATCGCTTGAAATCTCCACTTGCAAATTCCACAGAAAGAGTTTTTCAAAACTGCTCTGTGTAAAGGAAGGTTCAACTCTGTGACTTGAATACACACAACACAAAGAAGTGACTGAGAATTCTTCTGTCTAGCATTATATGAAGAAATCCCGTTTCCAACGAAGGCCTCAAAGAAGTCCAAATAAGCACCTGCAGACTTTACAAACAGAGTGTTTCCAAACTGCTCTATGAAAAGAAAGGTTAAACTCTGTGAGTTGAACGCACACATCACAAAGTAGTTGTTGAGAATGATTCTGTGTAGTTTTTATACGAAGATATTTCCTTTTCTGCCATAGGCCTAGAAGCGCTTGTAATCTGCACTTGCAAATTCCAAAAACAGAGTGTTTCAAATCTGCTCTCTCTAAAGGAAGGTTCAAATCTGTGAGTTGAATACAAACAACACAAAGAAGTTACTGAGAATTCTTCTGTCTAGCGTTGTATGAAGAAATCCCGTTTCCAACGAAGGCCTCAAAGAGGTCCAAATATCCACTTGCAGACTTTACAAATAGAGTGTTTCCAAACTGCTCTATGAAAAGAAAGGTTAATCTCTGTGAGTTGAAGGCACACATCACAAACTAGTTTCTACGAATGACTCTGTGTACTTTTAATATGAAGATATTTCCATGTCTAAGATTGGCGTCAAATCGCTTGAAATCTCCACTTGCAAATTCCACAAAAAGTGTTTTTCAAAACTGCTCTGAATAAAGGAAGGTTCCACTCTGTGAGTTGAATACACACAACACAAAGGATTTACTGAGAATTCTTCTGTCTAGCAGTAAATGAGAAATCCCGCTTCCAACGAAGGCCTCAAAGGGGTCTAACTAATCACTTGCAGACTTTACAGACAGAGTCTTTCCAAACTGCTCTATGAAGAGAAAGGTGAAACTCTGTGAACTGAACGCACAGATGACAAAGCAGTTTCTGAGAATGATTCTGTGTAGTTTTTACACGAAGATATTTCCATTTCAAAGATTAGCCTCAAATCGCTTGAAATCTCCACTTGCAAACTCCACAGAAAGAATTTTTCAAAACTGCTCTGTCTAAAGGAAGGTTCAACTCTGTGACTTGAATACACACAACACAAAGAAGTGACTGAGAATTCTTCTGTCTAGCATTATATGAAGAAATCCCGTTTCCAACGAAGGCCTCAATGAAGTCCAAAAAAGCACTTGCAGGCTTTACAAACAGAGTGTTTCCAAACTGCTCTATGAAAAGAAAGGTTAAACTCTGTGAGTTGAACGCACACATCACAAAGTAGTTGTTGAGAATGATTCTGTGTAGTTTTTATACGAAGATATTTCCTTTTCTGCCATAGGCCTAGAAGCGCTTGAAATCTGCACTTGCAAATTCCAAAAACAGAGTGTTTCAAATCTGCTCTCTCTAAATGAAGGTTCAAATCTGTGTGTTGAATACAAACAACACAAAGAAGTTACTGAGAATTCTTCTGTCTAGCATTATATGAGGAAATCCCGTTTCCAACGAAGGGCTCAAAGAGGGCCAAATATCCACCTGCAGACTTACAAAGAGTGTATTTCCAAACTGCTCGATTAAAGAAAGGTTAAACTCTGTGAGTTGAACACACACATCACAAAGAGTTTTCTGAGAATGATTTTGTCTACTTTTAATACGAAGATATATCCTTTTCTATCACTGTCTTCGAAGCGTTTGAAATCTACACTAGCAAATTCCACAAAAAGAGTGTTTCACCTCTGCTCCCTCTAAAGAAAGGTTCAACTCTGTGAGTTGAATACACACAACACAAAGAAGTTACTGAGAATTCTTCTGTCTAGCGTTATATGAAGAAATCCCGTTTCCAACGAAGGCCTCAAAGAGGTCCAAATATCCACTTGCAGACTTTACAAATAGAGTGTTTCCAAACTGCTCTATGAAAAGAAAGGTTAAACTCTGTGAGTTGAAGGCACACATCACAAACTAGTTTCTACGAATGACTCCTGTGTACTTTTAATATGAAGATATTTCCATGTCTAAGATTGGCGTCAAATCGCTTGAAATCTCCACTTGCAAATTCCACAAAAAGAGTGTTTCAAAACTGCTCTGAATAAAGGAAGGTTCCACTCTGTGAGTTGAATACACACAACACAAAGGATTTACTGAGAATTCTTCTGTATAGCAGTAAATGAAAAAACCCCGCTTCCAACGAAGTCCTCAAAGGGGTCCAAGTAATCACTTGCAGACTTTACAGACAGAGTCTTTCCAAACTGCTCTATGAAAAGAAAGGTGGAACTCTGTGAGCTGAACGCACACATAACAAAGCAGTTACTGAGAATGATTCTGTGTAGTTTTTACACGAAGATATTTCCATTTCAAAGATTAGCCTCAAATCGCTTGAAATCTCCACTTGCAAACTCCACAGAAAGAATTTTTCAAAACTGCTCTGTCTAAAGGAAGGTTCAACTCTGTGACTTGAATACACACAACACAAAGAAGTGACTGAGAATTCTTCTGTCTAGCATTATATGAAGAAATCCCGTTTCCAACGAAGGCCTCAATGAAGTCCAAAAAAGCACTTGCAGGCTTTACAAACAGAGTGTTTCCAAACTGCTCTATGAAAAGAAAGGTTAAACTCTGTGAGTTGAACGCACACATCACAAAGTAGTTGTTGAGAATGATTCTGCGTAGTTTTTATACGAAGATATTTCCTTTTCTGCCATAGGCCTAGAAGCCCTTGAAATCTGCACTTGCAAATTCCAAAAACAGAGTGTTTCAACTCTGCTCTCTCTAAAGAAAGGTTCAACTCTTTGAGTTGAATACAAACAACACAAAGAAGTTACTGAGAATTCTTCTGTCTAGCATTATATGAGGAAATCCCGTTTCCAACGAAGGGCTCAAAGAGGGCCAAATATCCACCTGCAGACTTACAAAGAGTGTATTTCCAAACTGCTCGATTAAAGAAAGGTTAAACTCTGTGAGTTGAACACACACATCACAAAGAGTTTTCTGAGAATGATTTTGTCTACTTTTAATACGAAGATATATCCTTTTCTATCACTGTCTTCGAAGCGTTTGAAATCTGCACTAGCAAATTCCACAAAAAGAGTGTTTCACCTCTGCTCCCTCTAAAGAAAGGTTCAACTCTGTGAGTTGAATACACATAACACAAAGAAGTTACTGAGAATTCTTCTGTCTAGCGTTATATGAAGAAATCCCGTTTCCAACGAAGGCCTCAAAGAGGTCCAAATATCCACTTGCAGACTTTACAAATACAGTGTTTCCCAACTGCTCTATGAAAAGAAAGGTTAAACTCTGTGAGTTGAAGGCACACATCACAAACTAGTTTCTACGAATGACTCTGTGTACTTTTAATATGAAGATATTTCCATGTCTAAGATTGGCGTCAAATCGCTTGAAATCTCCACTTGCAAATTCCACAAAAAGAGTGTTTCAAAACTGCTCTGAATAAAGGAAGGTTCCACTCTGTGAGTTGAATACACACAACACAAAGGATTTACTGAGAATTCTTCTGTCTAGCAGTAAATGAGAAATCCCGCTTCCAACGAAGGCCTCAAAGGGGTCTAACTAATCACTTGCAGACTTTACAGACAGAGTCTTTCCAAACTGCTCTATGAAGAGAAAGGTGAAACTCTGTGAACTGAACGCACAGATGACAAAGCAGTTTCTGAGAATGATTCTGTGTAGTTTTTACACGAAGATATTTCCATTTCAAAGATTAGCCTCAAATCGCTTGAAATCTCCACTTGCAAACTCCACAGAAAGAATTTTTCAAAACTGCTCTGTCTAAAGGAAGGTTCAACTCTGTGACTTGAATACACACAACACAAAGAAGTGACTGAGAATTCTTCTGTCTAGCATTATATGAAGAAATCCCGTTTCCAACGAAGGCCTCAATGAAGTCCAAAAAAGCACTTGCAGGCTTTACAAACAGAGTGTTTCCAAACTGCTCTATGAAAAGAAAGGTTAAACTCTGTGAGTTGAACGCACACATCACAAAGTAGTTGTTGAGAATGATTCTGTGTAGTTTTTTATACGAAGATATTTCCTTTTCTGCCATAGGCCTAGAATCGCTTGAAATCTGCAGTTGCAAATTCCAAAAACAGAGTGTTTCAACTCTGCTCTCTCTAAAGAAAGGTTCAACTCTGTGAGTTGAATACACACAACACAAAGAAGTTACTGAGAATTCTTCTGTCTAGCGTTGTATGAAGAAATCCCGTTTCCAACGAAGGCCTCAAAGAGGTCCAAATATCCACTTGCAGACTTTACAAATAGAGTGTTTCCAAACTGCTCTATGAAAAGAAAGGTTAAACTCTGTGAGTTGAAGGCACACATCACAAACTAGTTTCTACGAATGACTCTGTGTACTTTTAATATGAAGATATTTCCATGTCTAAGATTGACGTCAAATCGCTTGAAATCTCCACTTGCAAATTCCACAAAAAGTGTTTTTCAAAACTGCTCTGAATAAAGGAAGGTTCCACTCTGTGAGTTGAATACACACAACACAAAGGATTTACTGAGAATTCTTCTGTCTAGCAGTAAATGAGAAATCCCGCTTCCAACGAAGGCCTCAAAGGGGTCTAACTAATCACTTGCAGACTTTACAGACAGAGTCTTTCCAAACTGCTCTATGAAGAGAAAGGTGAAACTCTGTGAACTGAACGCACAGATGACAAAGCAGTTTCTGAGAATGATTCTGTGTAGTTTTTACACGAAGATATTTCCATTTCAAAGATTAGCCTCAAATCGCTTGAAATCTCCACTTGCAAACTCCACAGAAAGAATTTTTCAAAACTGCTCTGTCTAAAGGAAGGTTCAACTCTGTGACTTGAATACACACAACACAAAGAAGTGACTGAGAATTCTTCTGTCTAGCATTATATGAAGAAATCCCGTTTCCAACGAAGGCCTCAATGAAGTCCATAAAAGCACTTGCAGGATTTACAAACAGAGTGTTTCCAAACTGCTCTATGAAAAGAAAGGTTAAACTCTGTGAGTTGAACGCACACATCACAAAGTAGTTGTTGAGAATGATTCTGTGTAGTTTTTACACGAAGATATTTCCATTTCAAAGATTAGCCTCAAATCGCTTGAAATCTCCACTTGCAAATTCCACAGAAAGAATTTTTCAAAACTGCTCTGTCTAAAGGAAGGTTCAACTCTGTGACCTGAATACACACAACACAAAGAAGTGACTGAGAATTCTTCTGTCTAGCATTATATGAAGAAATCCCGTTTCCAACGAAGGCCTCAATGAAGTCCAAAAAAGCACTTGCAGGCTTTACAAACAGAGTGTTTCCAAAATGCTCTATGAAAAGAAAGGTTAAACTCTGTGAGTTGAACGCACACATCACAAAGTAGTTGTTGAGAATGATTTTGTCTACTTTTAATACGAAGATATATCCTTTTCTATCACTGACTTCGAAGCGTTTGAAATCTACACTAGCAAATTCCACAAAAAGAGTGTTTCACCTCTGCTCCCTCTAAAGAAAGGTTCAACTCTGTGAGTTGAATACACACAACACAAAGAAGTTACTGAGAATTCTTCTGTCTAGCGTTATATGAAGAAATCCCGTTTCCAACGAAGGCCTCAAAGAGGTCCAAATATCCACTTGCAGACTTTACAAATAGAGTGTTTCCCAACTGCTCTATGAAAAGAAAGGTTAAACTCTGTGAGTTGAAGGCACACATCACAAACTAGTTTCTACGAATGACTCTGTGTACTTTTAATATGAAGATATTTCCATGTCTAAGATTGGCGTCAAATCGCTTGAAATCTCCACTTGCAAATTCCACAAAAAGAGTGTTTCAAAACTGCTCTGAATAAAGGAAGGTTCCATTCTGTGAGTTGAATACACACAACACAAAGGATTTACTGAGAATTCTTCTGTCTAGCAGTAAATGAGAAATCCCGCTTCCAACGAAGGCCTCAAAGGGTTCTAACTAATCACTTGCAGACTTTACAGACAGAGTCTTTCCAAACTGCTCTATGAAGAGAAAGGTGAAACTCTGTGAACTGAACGCACAGATGACAAAGCAGTTTCTGAGAATGATTCTGTGCAGTTTTTACACGAAGATATTTCCATTTCAAAGATTAGCCTCAAATCGCTTGAAATCTCCACTTGCAAATTACACAGAAAGAATTTTTCAAAACTGCTCTGTCTAAAGGAAGGTTCAACTCTGTGACTTGAATACACACAACACAAAGAAGTGACTGAGAATTCTTCTGTCTAGCATTATATGAAGAAATCCCGTTTCCAACGAAGGCCTCAATGAAGTCCAAAAAAGCACTTGCAGGCTTTACAAACAGAGTGTTTCCAAACTGCTCTATGAAAAGAAAGGTTAAACTCTGTGAGTTGAACGCACACATCACAAAGTAGTTGTTGAGAATGATTCTGTGTAGTTTTTATACGAAGATATTTCCTTTTCTGCCATAGGCCTAGAATCGCTTGAAATCTGCACTTGCAAATTCCAAAAACAGAGTGTTTCAACTCTGCTCTCTCTAAAGAAAGGTTCAACTCTGTGAGTTGAATACACACAACACAAAGAAGTTACTGAGAATTCTTCTGTCTAGCGTTGTATGAAGAAATCCCGTTTCCAACGAAGGCCTCAATGAAGTCCAAAAAAGCACTTGCAGGCTTTACAAACAGAGTGTTTCCAAACTGCTCTATGAAAAGAAAGGTTAAACTCTGTGAGTTGAACACACACATCACAAAGAGTTTTCTGAGAATGATTTTGTCTACTTTTAATACGAAGATATATCCTTTTCTATCACTGTCTTCGAAGCGTTTGAAATCTACACTAGCAAATTCCACAAAAAGAGTGTTTCACCTCTGCTCCCTCTAAAGAAAGGTTCAACTCTGTGAGTTGAATACACACAACACAAAGAAGTTACTGAGAATTCTTCTGTCTAGCGTTATATGAAGAAATCCCGTTTCCAACGAAGGCCTCAAAGAGGTCCAAATATCCACTTGCAGACTTTACAAATAGAGTGTTTCCCAACTGCTCTATGAAAAGAAAGGTTAAACTCTGTGAGTTGAAGGCACACATCACAAACTAGTTTCTACGAATGACTCTGTGTACTTTTAATATGAAGATATTTCCATGTCTAAGATTGGCGTCAAATCGCTTGAAATCTCCACTTGCAAATTCCACAAAAAGAGTGTTTCAAAACTGCTCTGAATAAAGGAAGGTTCCACTCTGTGAGTTGAATACACACAACACAAAGGATTTACTGAGAATTCTTCTGTCTAGCAGTAAATGAGAAATCCCGCTTCCAACGAAGGCCTCAAAGGGGTCTAACTAATCACTTGCAGACTTTACAGACAGAGTCTTTCCAAACTGCTCTATGAAGAGAAAGGTGAAACTCTGTGAACTGAACGCACAGATGACAAAGCAGTTTCTGAGAATGATTCTGTGTAGTTTTTACACGAAGATATTTCCATTTCAAAGATTAGCCTCAAATCGCTTGAAATCTCCACTTGCAAATTACACAGAAAGAATTTTTCAAAACTGCTCTGTCTAAAGGAAGGTTCAACTCTGTGACTTGAATACACACAACACAAAGAAGTGACTGAGAATTCTTCTGTCTAGCATTACATGAAGAAATCCCGTTTCCAACGAAGGCCTCAATGAAGTCCAAAAAAGCACTTGCAGGCTTTACAAACAGAGTGTTTCCAAACTGCTCTATGAAAAGAAAGGTTAAACTCTGTGAGTTGAACGCACACATCACAAAGTAGTTGTTGAGAATGATTCTGTGTAGTTTTTATACGAAGATATTTCCTTTTCTGCCATAGGCCTAGAATCGCTTGAAATCTGCAGTTGCAAATTCCAAAAACAGAGTGTTTCAACTCTGCTCTCTCTAAAGAAAGGTTCAACTCTGTGAGTTGAATACACACAACACAAAGAAGTTACTGAGAATTCTTCTGTCTAGCGTTGTATGAAGAAATCCCGTTTCCAACGAAGGCCTCAAAGAGGTCCAAATATCCACTTGCAGACTTTACAAATAGAGTGTTTCCAAACTGCTCTATGAAAAGAAAGGTTAAACTCTGTGAGTTGAAGGCACACATCACAAACTAGTTTCTACGAATGACTCTGTGTACTTTTAATATGAAGATATTTCCATGTCTAAGATTGGCGTCAAATCGCTTGAAATCTCCACTTGCAAATTCCACAAAAAGTGTTTTTCAAAACTGCTCTGAATAAAGGAAGGTTCCACTCTGTGAGTTGAATACACACAACACAAAGGATTTACTGAGAATTCTTCTGTCTAGCAGTAAATGAGAAATCCCGCTTCCAACGAAGGCCTCAAAGGGGTCTAACTAATCACTTGCAGACTTTACAGACAGAGTCTTTCCAAACTGCTCTATGAAGAGAAAGGTGAAACTGTGTGAACTGAACGCACAGATGACAAAGCAGTTTCTGAGAATGATTCTGTGTAGTTTTTACACGAAGATATTTCCATTTCAAAGATTAGCCTCAAATCGCTTGAAATCTCCACTTGCAAACTCCACAGAAAGAATTTTTCAAAACTGCTCTGTCTAAAGGAAGGTTCAACTCTGTGACTTGAATACACACAACACAAAGAAGTGACTGAGAATTCTTCTGTCTAGCATTATATGAAGAAATCCCGTTTCCAACGAAGGCCTCAATGAAGTCCAAAAAAGCACTTGCAGGCTTTACAAACAGAGTGTTTCCAAACTGCTCTATGAAAAGAAAGGTTAAACTCTGTGAGTTGAACGCACACATCACAAAGTAGTTGTTGAGAATGATTCTGTGTAGTTTTTATACGAAGATATTTCCTTTTCTACCATAGGCCTAGAATCGCTTGAAATCTGCAGTTGCAAATTCCAAAAACAGAGTGTTTCAACTCTGCTCTCTCTAAAGAAAGGTTCAACTCTGTGAGTTGAATACACACAACACAAAGAAGTTACTGAGAATTCTTCTGTCTAGCGTTGTATGAAGAAATCCCGTTTCCAACGAAGGCCTCAAAGAGGTCCAAATATCCACTTGCAGACTTTACAAATAGAGTGTTTCCAAACTGCTCTATGAAAAGAAAGGTTAAACTCTGTGAGTTGAAGGCACACATCACAAACTAGTTTCTACGAATGACTCTGTGTACTTTTAATATGAAGATATTTCCATGTCTCAGATTGGCGTCAAATCGCTTGAAATCTCCACTTGCAAATTCCACAAAAAGTGTTTTTCAAAACTGCTCTGAATAAAGGAAGGTTCCACTCTGTGAGTTGAATACACACAACACAAAGGATTTACTGAGAATTCTTCTGTCTAGCAGTAAATGACAAATCCCGCTTCCAACGAAGGCCTCAAAGGGGTCTAACTAATCACTTGCAGACTTACAGACAGAGTCTTTCCAAACTGCTCTATGAAGAGAAAGGTGAAACTCTGTGAACTGAACGCACAGATAACAAAGCAGTTTCTGAGAATGATTCTGTGTAGTTTTTACACGAAGATATTTCCATTTCAAAGATTAGCCTCAAATCGCTTGAAATCTCCACTTGCAAATTCCACAGAAAGAATTTTTCAAAACTGCTCTGTCTAAAGGAAGGTTCAACTCTGTGACTTGAATACACACAACACAAAGAAGTGACTGAGAATTCTTCTGTCTAGCATTATATGAAGAAATCCCGATTCCAACGAAGGCCTCAATGAAGTCCAAAAAAGCACTTGCAGGCTTTACAAACAGAGTGTTTCCAAACTGCTCTATGAAAAGAAAGTTTAAACTCTGTGAGTTGAACGCACACATCACAAAGTAGTTGTTGAGAATGATTCTGTGTAGTTTTTATACGAAGATATTTCCTTTTCTGCCATAGGCCTAGAATCGCTTGAAATCTGCACTTGCAAATTCCAAAAACAGAGTGTTTCAACTCTGCTCTCTCTAAAGAAAGGTTCAACTCTGTGAGTTGAATACACACAACACAAAGAAGTTACTGAGAATTCTTCTGTCTAGCGTTATATGAAGAAATCCCGTTTCCAACGAAGGCCACAAAGAGGTCCAAATATCCACTTGCAGACTTTACAAATAGAGTGTTTCCAAACTGCTCTATGAAAAGAAAGGTTAAACTCTGTGAGTTGAAGGCACACATCACAAACTAGTTTTTACGAATGACTCTGTGTACTTTTAATATGAAGATATTTCCATGTCTAAGATTGGCTTCAAATCGCTTGAAATCTCCACTTGCAAATTCCACAAAAAGTGTTTTTCAAAAGTGCTCTGAATAAAGGAAGGTTCCACTCTGTGAGTTGAATACACACAACACAAAGGATTTACTGAGAATTCTTCTGTCTAGCAGTAAATGAGAAATCCCGCTTCCAACGAAGGCCTCAAAGGGGTCTAACTAATCACTTGCAGACTTTACAGACAGAGTCTTTCCAAACTGCTCTATGAAGAGAAAGGTGAAACTCTGTGAACTGAACGCACAGATGACAAAGCAGTTTCTGAGAATGATTCTGTGTAGTTTTTACACGAAGATATTTCCATTTCAAAGATTAGCCTCCAATCGCTTGAAATCTCCACTTGCAAACTCCACAGAAAGAATTTTTCAAAACTGCTCTGTCTAAAGGAAGGTTCAACTCTGTGACTTGAATACACACAACACAAAGAAGTGACTGAGAATTCTTCTGTCTAGCATTATATGAAGAAATCCCGTTTCCAACGAAGGCCTCAATGAAGTCCAAAAAAGCACTTGCAGGCTTTACAAACAGAGTGTTTCCAAACTGCTCTATGAAAAGAAAGGTTAAACTCTGTGAGTTGAACGCACACATCACAAAGTAGTTGTTGAGAATGATTCTGTGTAGTTTTTATACGAAGATATTTCCTTTTCTGCCATAGGCCTAGAATGGCTTGAAATCTGCAGTTGCAAATTCCAAAAACAGAGTGTTTCAACTCTGCTCTCTCTAAAGAAAGGTTCAACTCTGTGAGTTGAATACACACAACACAAAGAAGTTACTGAGAATTCTTCTGTCTAGCGTTGTATGAAGAAATCCCGTTTCCAACGAAGGCCTCAAAGAGGTCCAAATATCCACTTGCAGACTTTACAAATAGAGTGTTTCCAAACTGCTCTATGAAAAGAAAGGTTAAACTCTGTGAGTTGAAGGCACACATCACAAACTAGTTTCTACGAATGACTCTGTGTACTTTTAATATGAAGATATTTCCATGTCTAAGATTGGCGTCAAATCGCTTGAAATCTCCACTTGCAAATTCCACAAAAAGTGTTTTTCAAAACTGCTCTGAATAAAGGAAGGTTTCACTCTGTGAGTTGAATACACACAACACAAAGGATTTACTGACAATTCTTCTGTCTAGCAGTAAATGAGAAATCCCGCTTCCAACGAAGGCCTCAAAGGGGTCTAACTAATCACTTGCAGACTTTACAGACAGAGTCTTTCCAAACTGCTCTATGAAGAGAAAGGTGAAACTCTGTGAACTGAACGCACAGATGACAAAGCAGTTTCTGAGAATGATTCTGTGTAGTTTTTACACGAAAGATATTTCCATTTCAAAGATTAGCCTCAAATCGCTTGAAATCTCCACTTGCAAACTCCACAGAAAGAATTTTTCAAAACTGCTCTGTCTAAAGGAAGGTTCAACTCTGTGACTTGAATACACACAACACAAAGAAGTGACTGAGAATTCTTCTGTCTAGCATTATATGAAGAAATCCCGTTTCCAACGAAGGCCTCAATGAAGTCCAAAAAAGCACTTGCAGGCTTTACAAACAGAGTGTTTCCAAACTGCTCTATGAAAAGAAAGGTTAAACTCTGTGAGTTGAACGCACACATCACAAAGTAGTTGTTGAGAATGATTCTGTGTAGTTTTTATACGAAGATATTTCCTTTTCTGCCATAGGCCTAGAATCGCTTGAAATCTGCAGTTGCAAATTCCAAAAACAGAGTGTTTCAACTCTGCTCTCTCTAAAGAAAGGTTCAACTCTGTGAGTTGAATACACACAACACAAAGAAGTTACTGAGAATTCTTCTGTCTAGCGTTGTATGAAGAAATCCCGTTTCCAACGAAGGCCTCAAAGAGGTCCAAATATCCACTTGCAGACTTTACAAATAGAGTGTTTCCAAACTGCTCTATGAAAAGAAAGGTTAAACTGCTGTGAGTTGAAGGCACACATCACAAACTAGTTTCTACGAATGACTCTGTGTACTTTTAATATGAAGATATTTCCATGTCTAAGATTGGCGTCAAATCGCTTGAAATCTCCACTTGCAAATTCCACAAAAAGTGTTTTTCAAAACTGCTCTGAATAAAGGAAGGTTCCACTCTGTGAGTTGAATACACACAACACAAAGGATTTACTGAGAATTCTTCTGTCTAGCAGTAAATGAGAAATCCCGCTTCCAACGAAGGCCTCAAAGGGGTCTAACTAATCACTTGCAGACTTTACAGACAGAGTCTTTCCAAACTGCTCTATGAAGAGAAAGGTGAAACTCTGTGGACTGAACGCACAGATGACAAAGCAGTTTCTGAGAATGATTCTGTGTAGTTTTTACACGAAGATATTTCCATTTCAAAGATTAGCCTCAAATCGCTTGAAATCTCCACTTGCAAACTCCACAGAAAGAATTTTTCAAAACTGCTCTGTCTAAAGGAAGGTTCAACTCTGTGACTTGAATACACACAACACAAAGAAGTGACTGAGAATTCTTCTGTCTAGCATTATATGAAGAAATCCCCTTTCCAACGAAGGCCTCAATGAAGACCAAAAAAGCAATTGCAGGCTTTACAAACAGAGTGTTTCCAAACTGCTCTTTGAAAAGAAAAGTTAAACTTTGTGAGTTGAACGCACACATCACAAAGTAGTTGTTGAGAATGATTTCTGTGTAGTTTTTATATGAAGATATTTCCTTTTCTGCCATAGGCCTAGCAAGCGCTTGAAATCTGCACTTGCAAATTCCAAAAACAGAGTGTTTCAAATCTGCTCTCTCTAAAGGAAGGTTCAAATCTGTGAGTTGAATACAAACAACACAAAGAAGTTACTGAGAATTCTTCTGTCTAGCGTTATATGAAGAAATCCCGTTTCCAACGAAGGCCTCAAAGAGGTCCAAATATCCACTTGCAGACTTTACAAATAGAGTGTTTCCAAACTGCTCTATGAAAAGAAAGGTTAAACTACTGTGAGTTGAAGGCACACATCACAAACTAGTTTCTACGAATGACTCTGTGTACTTTTAATATGAAGATATTTCCATGTCTAAGATTGGCGTCAAATCGCTTGAAATCTCCACTTGCAAATTCCACAAAAAGTATTTTTCAAAACTGCTCTGAATAAAGGAAGGTTCCACTCTGTGAGTTGAATACACACAACACAAAGGATTTACTGAGAATTCTTCTGTCTAGCATTATATGAAGAAATCCCGTTTCCAACGAAGGCCTCAATGAAGTCCAAAAAAGCAATTGCAGGCTTTACAAACAGAGTGTTTCCAAACTGCTCTATGAAAAGAAAGGTTAAACTTTGTGAGTTGAATGCACACATCACAAAGTAGTTGTTGAGAATGATTCTGTGTAGTTTTTACACGAAGATATTTCCATTTCAAAGATTAGCCTCAAATCGCTTGAAATCTCCACTTGCAAACTCCACAGAAAGAATTTTTCAAAACTGCTCTGTCTAAAGGAAGGTTCAACTCTGTGACTTGAATACACACAACACAAAGAAGTGACTGAGAATTCTTCTGTCTAGCATTATATGAAGAAATCCCGTTTCCAACGAAGGCCTCAATGAAGTCCAAAAAAGCACTTGCAGGCTTTACAAACAGAGTGTTTCCAAACTGCTCTATGAAAAGAAAGGTTAAACTCTGTGAGTTGAACGCACACATCACAAAGTAGTTGTTGAGAATGATTTTGTCTAGTTTTAATACGAAGATATATCCTTTTCTATCACTGTCTTCGAAGCGTTTGAAATCTGCACTAGCAAATTCCACAAACAGAGTGTTTCAACTCTGCTCTCTCTCAAGAAAGGTTCAACTCTGTGAGTGGAATACACACAACACAAAGTAGTTACTGAGAATTCTTCTGTCTAGCGTTATATGAAGAAATCCCGTTTCCAACGAAGGCCTCAAAGAGGTCCAAATATCCACTTGCAGACTTTACAAATAGAGTGTTTCCAAACTGCTCTATGAAAAGAAAGGTTAAACTCCGTGAGTTGAAGGCACACATCACAAACTAGTTTCTGCGAATGACTCTGTGTACTTTTAATACGAAGATGTTTCCATGTCTAAGATTGGCGTGAATTCGCTTGAAATCTCCACTTGCAAATTCCACAAAAAGAGTGTTTCAAAACTGCTCTGAATAAAGGAAGGTTCCACTCTGTGAGTTGAATACACACAACACAAAGGATTTACTGAGAATTCTTCTGTCTAGCAGTAAATGAAAAAATCCCGCTTCCAACGAAGTCCTCAAAGGGGTCCAAGTAATCACTTGCAGACTTTACAGACAGAGTCTTTCCAAACTGCTCTATGAAAAGAAAGGTGGAACTCTGTGAGCTGAACGCACACATAACAAAGCAGTTTCTGAGAATGATTCTGTGTAGTTTTTACAAGAAGATATTTCCATTTCAAAGATTAGCCTCAAATCGCTTGAAATCTCCACTTGCAAATTCCACAGAAAGAGTTTTTCAAAACTGCTCTGTGTAAAGGAAGGTTCAACTCTGTGACTTGAATACACACAACACAAAGAAGTGACTGAGAATTCTTCTGTCTAGCATTATATGAAGAAATCCCGTTTCCAACGAAGGCCTCAAAGAAGTCCAAATAAGCACCTGCAGACTTTACAAACAGAGTGTTTCCAAACTGCTCTATGAAAAGAAAGGTTAAACTCTGTGAGTTGAACGCACACATCACAAAGTAGTTGTTGAGAATGATTCTGTGTAGTTTTTATACGAAGATATTTCCTTTTCTGCCATAGGCCTAGAAGCGCTTGCAATCTGCACTTGCAAATTCCAAAAACAGAGTGTTTCAAATCTGCTCTCTCCAAAGGAAGGTTCAAATCTGTGAGTTGAATACAAACAACACAAAGAAGTTACTGAGAATTCTTCTGTCTAGCATTATATGAGGAAATCCCGTTTCCAACGAAGGGCTCATAGAGGGACAATTATCCAGCTGCAGACTTACAAAGAGTGTATTTCCAAACTGCTCGATTAAAGAAAGGTTAAACTCTGTGAGTTGAACACACACATCACAAAGTGTTTTCTGAGAATGATTTTGTGTAGTTTTAATACGAAGATATATCCTTTTCTATCACTGTCTTCGAAGCGTTTGAAATCGGCACAAGCAAATTCCACAAACAGAGTGTTTCAACTCTGCTCTCTCTCAAGAAAGGTTCAACTCTGTGAGTGGAATACACACAACACAAAGAAGTTACTGAGAATTCTTCTGTCTAGCGTTATATGAAGAAATCCCGTTTCCAACGAAGGCCTCAAAGAGGTCCAAATATCCACTTGCAGACTTTACAAATAGAGTGTTTCCAAACTGCTCTATGAAAAGAAAGGTTAAACTCTGTGAGTTGAAGGCACACATCACAAACTAGTTTCTGCGAATGACTCTGTGTACTTTTAATACGAAGATGTTTCCATGTCTAAGATTGGCGTGAATTCGCTTGAAATCTCCACTTGCAAATTCCACAAAAAGAGTGTTTCAAAACTGCTCTGAATAAAGGAAGGTTCCACTCTGTGAGTTGAATACACACAACACAAAGGATTTACTGAGAATTCTTCTGTCTAGCAGTAAATGAAAAAATCCCGCTTCCAACGAAGTCCTCAAAGGGGTCCAAGTCATCACTTGCAGACTTTACAGACAGAGTCTTTCCAAACTGCTCTATGAAAAGAAAGGTGGAACTCTGTGAGCTGAACGCACACATAACAAAGCAGTTTCTGACAATGATTCTGTGTAGTTTTTACACGAAGCTATTTCCATTCCAAAGATTAGCCTCAAATCGCTTGAAATCTCCACTTGCAAATTCCACAGAAAGAGTTTTTCAAAACTGCTCTGTGTAAAGGAAGGTTCAACTCTGTGACTTGAATACACACAACACAAAGAAGTGACTGAGAATTCTTCTGTCTAGCATTATATGAAGAAATCCCGTTTCCAACAAAGGCCTCAAAGAAGTCCAAATATGCACTTGCAGACTTTACAAACAGAGTGTTTCCAAACTGCTCTATGAAAAGAAAGGTTAAACTCTGTGAGTTGAATGCACACATCACAAAGTAGTTCTTTAGAATGATTCTGTCTAGTTTTTATACGAAGATACTTCCTTTTCTACCATTGGCCTAGAAGCGCTTGAAATCTGCACTTGCAAATTCCACAAAAAGAGTGTTTCAAATCTGCTCTCTGTAAAGGAAGTTTCAAAACTGTGAGTTGAACAGACACAACACAAAAAAGTTACTGAAAATTCTTCTGTCTAGCATTACATGAAGAAATCCCGTTTCCAACGAAGGCCTCAAAGGAAGTCCAAATAAGCACCTGCAGACTTTACAAACAGAGTGTTTCCAAACTGCTCTATGAAAAGAAAGGTTAAACTCTGTGAGTTGAACGCACACATCACAAAGTAGTTGTTGAGAATGATTCTGTGTAGTTTTTACACGAAGCTATTTCCATTTCAAAGTATTAGCCTCAAATCGCTTGAAATCTCCACTTGCAAATTCCACAGAAAGAGTTTTTCAAAACTGCTCTGTGTAAAGGAAAGTTCAACTCTGTGACTTGAATACACACAACACAAAGAAGTGACTGAGAATTCTTCTGTCTAGCATTATATGAAGAAATCCCGTTTCCAACGAAGGCCTCAAAGAAGTCCAAATAAGCACCTGCAGACTTTACAAACAGAGTGTTTCCAAACTGCTCTATGAAAAGAAAGGTTAAACTCTGTGAGTTGAACGCACACATCACAAAGTAGTTGTTGAGAATGATTCTGTGTAGTTTTTATACGAAGATATTTCCTTTTCTGCCATAGGCCTAGAAGCGCTTGTAATCTGCACTTGCAAATTCCAAAAACAGAGTGTTTCAAATCTGCTCTCTCTAAAGGAAGGTTCAAATCTGTGAGTTGAATACAAGCAACACAAAGAAGTTACTGAGAATTCTTCTGTCTAGCATTATAAGAGGAAATCCTGTTTCCAACGAAGGGCTCATAGAGGGACAATTATCCAGCTGCAGACTTACAAAGAGTGTATTTCCAAACTGCTCGATTAAAGAAAGGTTAAACTCTGTGAGTTGAACACACACATCACAAAGTGTTTTCTGAGAATGATTTTGTCTAGTTTTAATACGAAGATATATCCTTTTCTATCACTGTCTTCGAAGCGTTTGAAATCTGCACTAGCAAATTCCACAAAAAGAGTGTTTCCACTCTGCTCTCTCTCAAGAAAGGTTCAACTCTGTGAGTGGAATACACACAACACAAAGAAGTTACAGAGAATTCTTCTGTCTAGCGTTATATGAAGAAATCCCGTTTCCAACGAAGGCCTCAAAGAGGTCCAAATATCCACTTGCAGACTTTACAAATAGAGTGTTTCCAAACTGCTCTATGAAAAGAAAGGTTAAACTCCGTGAGTTGAAGGCACACATCTCAAACTAGTTTCTGCGAATGACTCTGTGTACTTTTAATACGAAGATGTTTCCATGTCTAAGATTGGCGTGAATTCGCTTGAAATCTCCACTTGCAAATTCCACAAAAAGAGTGTTTCAAAACTGCTCTGAATAAAGGAAGGTTCCACTCTGTGAGTTGAATACACACAACACAAAGGATTTACTGAGAATTCTTCTGTCTAGCAGTAAATGAAAAAATCCCGCTTCCAACGAAGTCCTCCAAGGGGTCCAAGTAATCACTTGCAGACTTCACAGACAGAGTCTTTCCAAACTGCCCTATGAAAAGAAAGGTGGAACTCTGTGAGCTGAACGCACACATAACAAAGCAGTTTCTGAGAATGATTCTGTGTAGTTTTTACATGAAGATATTTCCATTTCAAAGATTAGCCTCAAATCGCTTGAAATCTCCACTTGCAAATTCCACAGAAAGAGTTTTTCAAAACTGCTCTGTGTAAAGGAAGGTTCAACTCTGTGACTTGAATACACACAACACAAAGAAGTGACTGAGAATTCTTCTGTCTAGCATTATATGAAGAAATCCCGTTTCCAACGAAGGCCTCAAAGAAGTCCAAATAAGCACCTGCAGACTTTACAAACAGGGTGTTTCCAAACTGCTCTATGAAAAGAAAGGTTAAACTCTGTGAGTTGAACGCACACATCACAAAGTAGTTGTTGAGAATGATTCTGTGTAGTTTTTATACGAAGATATTTCCTTTTCTGCCATAGGCCTAGAAGCGCTTGCAATCTGCACTTGCAAATTCCAAAAACAGAGTGTTTCAAATCTGCTCTCTCTAAAGGAAGGTTCAAATCTGTGAGTTGAATACAAACAACACAAAGAAGTTACTGAGAATTCTTCTGTCTAGCATTATATGAGGAAATCCCGTTTCCAACGAAGGGCTCATAGAGGGACAATTATCCAGCTGCAGACTTACAAAGAGTGTATTTCCAAACTGCTCGATTAAAGAAAGGTTAAACTCTGTGAGTTGAACACACACATCACAAAGTGTTTTCTGAGAATGATTTTGTCTAGTTTTAATGCGAAGATATATCCTTTTCTATCACTGTCTTCGAAGCGTTTGAAATCTGCACTAGCAAATTCCACAAACAGAGTGTTTCAACTCTGCTCTCTCTCAAGAAAGGTTCAACTCTGTGAGTGGAATACACACAACACAAAGAAGTTACTGAGAATTCTTCTGTCTAGCGTTATATGAAGAAATCCCGTTTCCAACGAAGGCCTCAAAGAGGTCCAAATATCCACTTGCAGACTTTACAAATAGAGTGTTTCCAAACTGCTCTATGAAAAGAAAGGTTAAACTCCGTGAGTTGAAGGCACACATCACAAACTAGTTTCTGCGAATGACTCTGTGTACTTTTAATACGAAGATGTTTCCATGTCTAAGATTGGCGTGAATTCGCTTGAAATCTCCACTTGCAAATTCCACAAAAAGAGTGTTTCAAAACTGCTCTGAATAAAGGAAGGTTCCACTCTGTGAGTTGAATACACACAACACAAAGGATTTACTGAGAATTCTTCTGTCTAGCAGTAAATGAAAAAATCCCGCTTCCAACGAAGTCCTCAAAGGGGTCCAAGTAATCACTTGCAGACTTTACAGACAGAGTCTTTCCAAACTGCTCTATGAAAAGAAAGGTGGAACTCTGTGAGCTGAACGCACACATAACAAAGCAGTTTCTGAGAATGATTCTGTGTAGTTTTTACACGAAGATATTTCCATTTCAAAGATTAGCCTCAAATCGCTTGAAATCTCCACTTGCAAATTCCACAGAAAGAGTTTTTCAAAACTGCTCTGTGTAAAGGAAGGTTCAGCTCTGTGACTTGAATACACACAACACAAAGAAGTGACTGAGAATTCTTCTGTCTAGCATTATATGAAGAAATCCCGTTTCCAACGAAGGCCTCAAAGAAGTCCAAATAAGCACCTGCAGACTTTACAAACAGAGTGTTTCCAAACTGCTCTATGAAAAGAAAGGTTAAACTCTGTGAGCTGAACGCACACATCACAAAGTAGTTGTTGAGAATGATTCTGTGTAGTTTTTATACGAAGATATTTCCTTTTCTGCCATAGGCCTAGAAGCGCTTGCAATCTGCACTTGCAAATTCCAAAAACAGAGTGTTTCAAATCTGCTCTCTCCAAAGGAAGGTTCAAATCTGTGAGTTGAATACAAAGAACACAAAGAAGTTACTGAGAATTCTTCTGTCTAGCATTATATGAGGAAATCCCGTTTCCAACGAAGGGCTCATAGAAGGACAATTATCCAGCTGCAGACTTACAAAGAGTGTATTTCCAAACTGCTCGATTAAAGAAAGGTTAAACTCTGTGAGTTGAACACACACATCACAAAGTGTTTTCTGAGAATGATTTTGTCTACTTTTAATACGAAGATATATCCTTTTCTATCACTGTCTTCGAAGCGTTTGAAATCTGCACTAGCAAATTCCACAAACAGAGTGTTTCAACTCTGCTCTCTCTCAAGAAAGGTTCAACTCTGTGAGTGGAATACACACAACACAAAGAAGTTACTGAGAATTCTTCTGTCTAGCGTTATATGAAGAAATCCCGTTTCCAACGAAGGCCTCAAAGAGGTCCAAATATCCACTTGCAGACTTTACAAATAGAGTGTTTCCAAACTGCTCTATGAAAAGAAAGGTTAAACTCTGTGAGTTGAAGGCACACATCACAAACTAGTTTCTGCGAATGACTCTGTGTACTTTTAATACGAAGATGTTTCCATGTCTAAGATTGGCGTGAATTCGCTTGAAATCTCCACTTGCAAATTCCACAAAAAGAGTGTTTCAAAACTGCTCTGAATAAAGGAAGGTTCCACTCTGTGAGTTGAATACACACAACACAAAGGATTTACTGAGAATTCTTCTGTCTAGCAGTAAATGAAAAAATCCCGCTTCCAACGAAGTCCTCAAAGGGGTCCAAGTAATCACTTGCAGACTTTACAGACAGAGTCTTTCCAAACTGCTCTATGAAAAGAAAGGTGGAACTCTGTGAGCTGAACGCACACATAACAAAGCAGTTTCTGAGAATGATTCTGTGTAGTTTTTACACGAAGATATTTCCATTTCAAAGATTAGCCTCAAATCGCTTGAAATCTCCACTTGCAAATTGCACAGAAAGAGTTTTTCAAAACTGCTCTGTGTAAAGGAAGGTTCAGCTCTGTGACTTGAATACACACAACACAAAGAAGTGACTGAGAATTCTTCTGTCTAGCATTATATGAAGAAATCCCGTTTCCAACGAAGGCCTCAAAGAAGTCCAAATAAGCACCTGCAGACTTTACAAACAGAGTGTTTCCAAACTGCTCTATGAAAAGAAAGGTTAAACTCTGTGAGCTGAACGCACACATCACAAAGTAGTTGTTGAGAATGATTCTGTGTAGTTTTTATACGAAGATATTTCCTTTTCTGCCATAGGCCTAGAAGCGCTTGCAATCTGCACTTGCAAATTCCAAAAACAGAGTGTTTCAAATCTGCTCTCTCCAAAGGAAGGTTCAAATCTGTGAGTTGAATACAAACAACACAAAGAAGTTACTGAGAATTCTTCTGTCTAGCATTATAAGAGGAAATCCTGTTTCCAACGAAGGGCTCATAGAGGGACAATTATCCAGCTGCAGACTTACAAAGAGTGTATTTCCAAACTGCTCGATTAAAGAAAGGTTAAACTCTGTGAGTTGAACACACACATCACAAAGTGTTTTCTGAGAATGATTTTGTCTAGTTTTAATACGAAGATATATCCTTTTCTATCACTGTCTTCGAAGCGTTTGAAATCTGCACTAGCAAATTCCCCAAACAGAGTGTTTCAACTCTGCTCTCTCTCAAGAAAGGTTCAACTCTGTGAGTGGAATACACACAACACAAAGAAGTTACTGAGAATTCTTCTGTCTAGCGTTATATGAAGAAATCCCGTTTCCAACGAAGGCCTCAAAGAGGTCCAAATATCCACTTGCAGACTTTACAAATAGAGTGTTTCCAAACTGCTCTATGAAAAGAAAGGTTAAACTCTGTGAGTTGAAGGCACACATCACAAACTAGTTTCTGCGAATGACTCTGTGTACTTTTAATACGAAGATGTTTCCATGTCTAAGATTGGCGTGAATTCGCTTGAAATCTCCACTTGCAAATTCCACAAAAAGAGTGTTTCAAAACTGCTCTGAATAAAGGAAGGTTCCACTCTGTGAGTTGAATACACACAACACAAAGGATTTACTGAGAATTCTTCTGTCTAGCAGTAAATGAAAAAATCCCGCTTCCAACGAAGTCCTCAAAGGGGTCCAAGTAATCACTTGCAGACTTTACAGACAGAGTCTTTCCAAACTGCTCTATGAAAAGAAAGGTGGAACTCTGTGAGCTGAACGCACACATAACAAAGCAGTTTCTGAGAATGATTCTGTGTAGTTTTTACACGAAGATATTTCCATTTCAAAGATTAGCCTCAAATCGCTTGAAATCTCCACTTGCAAATTCCACAGAAAGAGTTTTTCAAAACTGCTCTGTGTAAAGGAAGGTTCAACTCTGTGACTTGAATACACACAACACAAAGAAGTGACTGAGAATTCTTCTGTCTAGCATTATATGAAGAAATCCCGTTTCCAACGAAGGCCTCAATGAAGTCCAAAAAAGCACTTGCAGGCTTTACAAACAGAGTGTTTCCAAACTGCTCTATGAAAAGAAAGGTTAAACTCTGTGAGTTGAACGCACACATCACAAAGTAGTTGTTGAGAATGATTCTGTGTAGTTTTTATACGAAGATATTTCCTTTTCTGCCATAGGCCTAGAAGCGCTTGAAATCTGCACTTGCAAATTCCAAAAACAGAGTGTTTCAAATCTGCTCTCTCTAAAGGAAGGTTCAAATCTGTGAGTTGAATACAAACAACACAAAGAAATTACTGAGAATTCTTCTGTCTAGCGTTGTATGAAGAAATCCCGTTTCCAACGAAGGCCTCAAAGAGGTCCAAATATCCACTTGCAGACTTTACAAATAGAGTGTTTCCAAACTGCTCTATGAAAAGAAAGGTTAAACTCTGTGAGTTGAAGGCACACATCACAAACTAGTTTCTACGAATGACTCTGTGTACTTTTAATATGAAGATATTTCCATGTCTAAGATTGACGTCAAATCGCTTGAAATCTCCACTTGCAAATTCCACAAAAAGTGTTTTTCAAAACTGCTCTGAATAAAGGAAGGTTCCACTCTGTGAGTTGAATACACACAACACAAAGGATTTACTGAGAATTCTTCTGTCTAGCAGTAAATGAGAAATCCCGCTTCCAACGAAGGCCTCAAAGGGGTCTAACTAATCACTTGCAGACTTTACAGACAGAGTCTTTCCAAACTGCTCTATGAAGAGAAAGGTGAAACTCTGTGAACTGAACGCACAGATGACAAAGCAGTTTCTGAGAATGATTCTGTGTAGTTTTTACACGAAGATATTTCCATTTCAAAGATTAGCCTCAAATCGCTTGAAATCTCCACTTGCAAACTCCACAGAAAGAATTTTTCAAAACTGCTCTGTCTAAAGGAAGGTTCAACTCTGTGACTTGAATACACACAACACAAAGAAGTGACTGAGAATTCTTCTGTCTAGGATTATATGAAGAAATCCCGTTTCCAACGAAGGCCTCAATGAAGTCCAAAAAAGCACTTGCAGGCTTTACAAACAGAGTGTTTCCAAACTGCTCTATGAAAAGAAAGGTTAAACTCTGTGAGTTGAACGCACACATCACAAAGTAGTTGTTGAGAATGATTCTGTGTAGTTTTTATACGAAGATATTTCCTTTTCTGCCATAGGCCTAGAATCGCTTGAAATCTGCACTTGCAAATTCCAAAAACAGAGTGTTTCAACTCTGCTCTCTCTAAAGAAAGGTTCAACTCTGTGAGTTGAATACACAGAACACAAAGAAGTTACTGAGAATTCTTCTGTCTAGCGTTGTATGAAGAAATCCCGTTTCCAACGAAGGCCTCAATGAAGTCCAAAAAAGCACTTGCAGGCTTTACAAACAGAGTGGTTCCAAACTGCTCTATGAAAAGAAAGGTTAAACTCTGTGAGTTGAACGCACACATCACAAAGTAGTTGTTGAGAATGATTCTGTGTAGTTTTTATACGAAGATATTTCCTTTTCTGCCATAGGCCTAGAAGTGCTTGAAATCTGCACTTGCAAATTCCAAAAACAGAGTGTTTCAAATCTGCTCTCTCTAAAGGAAGGTTCAAATCTGTGTGTTGAATACAAACAACACAGAGAAGTTACTGAGAATTCTTCTATCTAGCATTATAAGAGGAAATCCCGTTTCCAAAGAAGGGCTCAAAGAGGGCCAAATATACACCTGCAGACTTACAAAGAGTGTATTTCCAAACTGCTCGATTAAAGAAAGGTTAAACTCTGTGAGTTGAACACACACATCACAAAGTGTTTTCTGAGAATGATTTTGTCTACTTTTAATACGAAGATATATCCTTTTCTATCACTGTCTTCGAAGCGTTTGAAATCTACACTAGCAAATTCCACAAAAAGAGTGTTTCACCTCTGCTCCCTCTAAAGAAAGGTTCAACTCTGTGAGTTGAATACACACAACACAAAGAAGTTACTGAGAATTCTTCTGTCTAGCGTTATATGAAGAAATCCCGTTTCCAACGAAGGCCTCAAAGAGGTCCAAATATCCACTTGCAGACTTTACAAATAGAGTGTTTCCCAACTGCTCTATGAAAAGAAAGGTTAAACTCTGTGAGTTGAAGGCACACATCACAAACTAGTTTCTACGAATGACTCTGTGTACTTTTAATATGAAGATATTTCCATGTCTAAGATTGGCGTCAAATCGCTTGAAATCTCCACTTGCAAATTCCACAAAAAGAGTGTTTCAAAACTGCTCTGAATAAAGGAAGGTTCCACTCTGTGAGTTGAATACACACAACACAAAGGATTTACTGAGAATTCTTCTGTCTAGCAGTAAATGAGAAATCCCGCTTCCAACGAAGTCCTCAAAGGGGTCTAACTAATCACTTGCAGAATTTACAGACAGAGTCTTTCCAAACTGCTCTATGAAGAGAAAGGTGAAACTCTGTGAACTGAACGCACAGATGACAAAGCAGTTTCTGAGAATGATTCTGTGTAGTTTTTACACGAAGTTATTTCCATTTCAAAGATTAGCCTCAAATCGCTTGAAATCTCCACTTGCAAACTCCACAGAAAGAATTTTTCAAAACTGCTCTGTCTAAAGGAAGGTTCAACTCTGTGACTTGAATACACACAACACAAAGAAGTGACTGAGAATTCTTCTGTCTAGCATTACATGAAGAAATCCCGTTTCCAACGAAGGCCTCAATGAAGTCCAAAAAAGCACTTGCAGGCTTTACAAACAGAGTGTTTCCAAACTGCTCTATGAAAAGAAAGGTTAAACTCTGTGAGTTGAACGCACACATCACAAAGTAGTTGTTGAGAATGATTCTGTGTAGTTTTTATACGAAGATATTTCCTTTTCTGCCATAGGCCTAGAATCGCTTGAAATCTGCACTTGCAAATTCCAAAAACAGAGTGTTTCAACTCTGCTCTCTCTAAAGAAAGGTTCAACTCTGTGAGTTGAATACACACAACACAAAGAAGTTACTGAGAATTCTTCTGTCTAGCGTTGTATGAAGAAATCCCGTTTCCAACGAAGGCCTCAAAGAGGTCCAAATATCCACTTGCAGACTTTACAAATAGAGTGTTTCCCAACTGCTCTATGAAAAGAAAGGTTAAACTCTGTGAGTTGAAGGCACACATCACAAACTAGTTTCTACGAATGACTCTGTGTACTTTTAATATGAAGATATTTCCATGTCTAAGATTGGCGTCAAATCGCTTGAAATCTCCACTTGCAAATTCCACAAAAAGTGTTTTTCAAAACTGCTCTGTATAAAGGAAGGTTCCACTCTGTGAGTTGAATACACACAACACAAAGGATTTACTGAGAATTCTTCTGTCTAGCAGTAAATGAGAAATCCCGCTTCCAACGAAGGCCTCAAAGGGGTCTAACTAATCACTTGCAGACTTTACAGACAGAGTCTTTCCAAACTGCTCTATGAAGAGAAAGGTGAAACTCTGTGAACTGAACGCACAGATGACAAAGCAGTTTCTGAGAATGATTCTGTGTAGTTTTTACACGAAGATATTTCCATTTCAAAGATTAGCCTCAAATCGCTTGAAATCTCCACTTGCAAATTACACAGAAAGAATTTTTCAAAACTGCTCTGTCTAAAGGAAGGTTCAACTCTGTGACTTGAATACACACAACACAAAGAAGTGACTGAGAATTCTTCTGTCTAGCATTATATGAAGAAATCCCGTTTCCAACGAAGGCCTCAATGAAGTCCAAAAAAGCACTTGCAGGCTTTACCAACAGAGTGTTTCCAAACTGCTCTATGAAAAGAAAGGTTAAACTCTGTGAGTTGAACGCACACATCACAAAGTAGTTGTTGAGAATGATTCTGTGTAGTTTTTATACGAAGATATTTCCTTTTCTGCCATAGGCCTAGAATCGCTTGAAATCTGCACTTGCAAATTCCAAAAACAGAGTGTTTCAACTCTGCTCTCTCTAAAGAAAGGTTCAACTCTGTGAGTTGAATACACACAACACAAAGAAGTTACTGAGAATTCTTCTGTCTAGCGTTGTATGAGGAAATCCCGTTTCCAATGAAGGCCTCAAAGAGGTCCAAATATCCACTTGCAGACTTTACAAATAGAGTGTTTCCAAACTGCTCTATGAAAAGAAAGGTTAAACTCTGTGAGTTGAAGGCACACATCACAAACTAGTTTCTACGAATGACTCTGTGTACTTTTAATATGAAGATATTTCCATGTCTAAGATTGGCGTAAAATCGCTTGAAATCTCCACTTGCAAATTCCACAAAAAGTGTTTTTCAAAACTGCTCTGAATAAAGGAAGGTTCCACTCTGTGAGTTGAATACACATAACACAAAGGATTTACTGAGAATTCTTCTGTCTAGCAGTAAATGAGAAATCCCGCTTCCAACGAAGGCCTCAAAGGGGTCTAACTAATCACTTGCAGACTTTACAGACAGAGTCTTTCCAAACTGCTCTATGAAGAGAAAGGTGAAACTCTGTGAACTGAACGCACAGATGACAAAGCAGTTTCTGAGAATGATTCTGTGTAGTTTTTACACGAAGATATTTCCATTTCAAAGATTAGCCTCAAATCGCTTGAAATCTCCACTTGCAAACTCCACAGAAAGAATTTTTCAAAACTGCTCTGTCTAAAGGAAGGTTCAACTCTGTGACTTGAATACACACAACACAAAGAAGTGACTGAGAATTCTTCTGTCTAGCATTATATGAAGAAATCCCGTTTCCAACGAAGGCCTCAATGAAGTCCAAAAAAGCACTTGCAGGCTTTACAAACAGAGTGTTTCCAAACTGCTCTATGAAAAGAAAGGTTAAACTCTGTGAGTTGAACGCACACATCACAAAGTAGTTGTTGAGAATGATTCTGTGTAGTTTTTATACGAAGATATTTCCTTTTCTGCCATAGGCCTAGAAGCGCATGAAATCTGCACTTGCAAATTCCAAAAACAGAGTGTTTCAAATCTGCTCTCTCTAAAGGAAGGTTCAAATCTGTGTGTTGAATACAAACAACACAAAGAAGTTACTGAGAATTCTTCTGTCTAGCATTATATGAGGAAATCCCGTTTCCAACGAAGGGCTCAAAGAGGGCCAAATATCCACCTGCAGACTTACAAAGAGTGTATTTCCAAACTGCTCGATTAAAGAAAGGTTAAACTCTGTGAGTTGAACACACACATCACAAAGAGTTTTCTGAGAATGATTCTGTGTAGTTTTTATACGAAGATATTTCCTTTTCTGCCATAGGCCTAGAAGCGCTTGCAATCTGCACTTGCAAATTCCAAAAACAGAGTGTTTCAAATCTGCTCTCTCCAAAGGAAGGTTCAAATCTTGTGAGTTGAATACAAACAACACAAAGAAGTTACTGAGAATTCTTCTGTCTAGCGTTATATGAAGAAATCCCGTTTCCAACGAAGGCCTCAAAGAGTTCCAAATATCCACTTGCAGACTTTACAAATAGAGTGTTTCCCAACTGCTCTATGAAAAGAAAGGTTAAACTCTGTGAGTTGAAGGCACACATCACAAACTAGTTTCTACGAATGACTCTGTGTACTTTTAATATGAAGATATTTCCATGTCTAAGATTGGCGTCAAATCGCTTGAAATCTCCACTTGCAAATTCCACAAAAAGAGTGTTTCAAAACTGCTCTGAATAAAGGAAGGTTCCACTCTGTGAGTTGAATACACACAACACAAAGGATTTACTGAGAATTCTTCTGTCTAGCAGTAAATGAGAAATCCCGCTTCCAACGAAGGCCTCAAAGGGGTCTAACTAATCACTTGCAGACTTTACAGACAGAGTCTTTCCAAACTGCTCTATGAAGAGAAAGGTGAAACTCTGTGAACTGAACGCACAGATGACAAAGCAGTTTCTGAGAATGATTCTGTGTACTTTTTACACGAAGATATTTCCATTTCAAAGATTAGCCTCAAATCTCTTAAAATCTCCAATTGCAAATTCCACAGAAAGAATTTTTCAAAACTGCTCTGTCTAAAAGAAGGTTCAACTCTGTGACTTGAATACACACAACACAAAGAAGTGACTGAGAATTCTTCTGTCTAGCGTTGTATGAAGAAATCCCGTTTCCAACGAAGGCCTCAATGAAGTCCAAAGAAGCACTTGCAGACTTTACAAACAGAGTGTTTCCAAACTGCTCTATGAAAAGAAAGGTTAAACTCTGTGAGTTGAACACACACATCACAAAGAGTTTTCTGAGAATGATTTTGTCTACTTTTAATACGAAGATATATCCTTTTCTATCACTGTCTTCGAAGCGTTTGAAATCTACACTAGCAAATTCCACAAAAAGAGTGTTTCACCTCTGCTCCCTCTAAAGAAAGGTTCAACTCTGTGAGTTGAATACACACAACACAAAGAAGTTACTGAGAATTCTTCTGTCTAGCGTTATATGAAGAAATCCCGTTTCCAACGAAGGCCTCAAAGAGGTCCAAATATCCACTTGCAGACTTTACAAATAGAGTGTTTCCCAACTGCTCTATGAAAAGAAAGGTTAAACTCTGTGAGTTGAAGGCACACATCACAAACTAGTTTCTACGAATGACTCTGTGTACTTTTAATATGAAGATATTTCCATGTCTAAGATTGGCGTCAAATCGCTTGAAATCTCCACTTGCAAATTCCACAAAAAGACTGTTTCAAAACTGCTCTGAATAAAGGAAGGTTCCACTCTGTGAGTTGAATACACACAACACAAAGGATTTACTGAGAATTCTTCTGTCTAGCAGTAAATGAGAAATCCCGCTTCCAACGAAGGCCTCAAAGGGGTCTAACTAATCACTTGCAGACTTTACAGACAGAGTCTTTCCAAACTGCTCTATGAAGAGAAAGGTGAAACTCTGTGAACTGAACGCACAGATGACAAAGCAGTTTCTGAGAATGATTCTGTGTAGTTTTTACACGAAGATATTTCCATTTCAAAGATTAGCCTCAAATCGCTTGAAATCTCCACTTGCAAACTCCACAGAAAGAATTTTTCAAAACTGCTCTGTCTAAAGGAAGGTTCAACTCTGTGACTTGAATACACACAACACAAAGAAGTGACTGAGAATTCTTCTGTCTAGCATTATATGAAGAAATCCCGTTTCCAACGAAGGCCTCAATGAAGTCCAAAAAAGCACTTGCAGGCTTTACAAACAGAGTGTTTCCAAACTGCTCTATGAAAAGAAAGGTTAAACTCTGTGAGTTGAACGCACACATCACAAAGTAGTTGTTGAGAATGATTCTGTGTAGTTTTTATACGAAGATATTTCCTTTTCTGCCATAGGCCTAGAATCGCTTGAAATCTGCAGTTGCAAATTCCAAAAACAGAGTGTTTCAACTCTGCTCTCTCTAAAGAAAGGTTCAACTCTGTGAGTTAAATACACACAACACAAAGAAGTTACTGAGAATTCTTCTGTCTAGCGTTGTATGAAGAAATCCCGTTTCCAACGAAGGCCTCAAAGAGGTCCAAATATCCACTTGCAGACTTTACAAATAGAGTGTTTCCAAACTGCTCTATGAAAAGAAAGGTTAAACTCTGTGAGTTGAAGGCACACATCACAAACTAGTTTCTACGAATGACTCTGTGTACTTTTAATATGAAGATATTTCCATGTCTAAGATTGGCGTCAAATCGCTTGAAATCTCCACTTGCAAATTCCACAAAAAGTGTTTTTCAAAACTGCTCTGAATAAAGGAAGGTTCCACTCTGTGAGTTGAATACACACAACACAAAGGATTTACTGAGAATTCTTCTGTCTAGCAGTAAATGAGAACTCCCGCTTCCAACAATGGCCTCAATGGGGTCTAACTAATCACTTGCAGACTTTACAGACAGAGTCTTTCCAAACTGCTCTATGAAGAGAAAGGTGAAACTCTGTGAACTGAACGCACAGATGACAAAGCAGTTTCTGAGAATGATTCTGTGTAGTTTTTACACGAAGATATTTCCATTTCAAAGATTAGCCTCAAATCGCTTGAAATCTCCACTTGCAAACTCCACAGAAAGAATTTTTCAAAACTGCTCTGTCTAAAGGAAGGCTCAACTCTGTGACTTGAATACACACAACACAAAGAAGTGACTGAGAATTCTTCTGTCTAGCATTATATGAAGAAATCCCGTTTCCAACGAAGGCCTCAATGAAGTCCAAAAAAGCACTTGCAGGCTTTACAAACAGAGTGTTTCCAAACTGCTCTATGAAAAGAAAGGTTAAACTCTGTGAGTTGAACGCACACATCACAAAGTAGTTGTTGAGAATGATTCTGTGTAGTTTTTATACGAAGATATTTCCTTTTCTGCCATAGGCCTAGAATCGCTTGAAATCTGCACTTGCAAATTCCAAAAACAGAGTGTTTCAAATCTATTCTCTCTAAAGGAAGGTTCAAATCTGTGAGTTGAATACAAACAACACAAAGAAGTTACTGAGAATTCTTCTGTCTAGCATTATATGAGGAAATACTGTTTCCAACGAAGGGCTCAAAGAGGGCCAATTATCCACCTGCAGACTTACAAAGAGTGTATTTCCAAACTGCTCGATTAAAGAAAGGTTAAACTCTGTGAGTTGAACACACACATCACAAAGTGTTTTCTGAGAATGATTCTGTGTACTTTTAATACGAAGATGTTTCCATGTCTAAGATTGGCGTGAATTCGCTTGAAATCTCCACTTGCAAATTCCACAAAGAGTGTTTCAAAACTGCTCTGAATAAAGGAAGGTTCCACTCTGTGAGTTGAATACACACAACACGAAGGATTTACTGAGAATTCTTCTGTCTAGCAGTAAATGAAAAAATCCCGCTTCCAACGAAGTCCTCAAAGGGGTCCAAGTAATCACTTGCAGACTTTACAGACAGAGTCTTTCCAAACTGCTCTATGAAAAGAAAGGTGGAACTCTGTGAGCTGAACGCACACATAACAAAGCAGTTTCTGAGAATGATTCTGTGTAGTTTTTACACGAAGATATTTCCATTTCAAAGATTAGCCTCAAATCGCTTGAAATCTCCACTTGCAAATTCCACAGAAAGAGTTTTTCAAAACTGCTCTGTGTAAAGGAAGGTTCAACTCTGTGACTTGAATACACACAACACAAAGAAGTGACTGAGAATTCTTCTGTCTAGCGTTATATGAAGAAATCCCGTTTCCAACGAAGGCCTCAAAGAGGTCCAAATAAGCACCTGCAGACTTTACAAACAGAGTGTTTCCAAACTGCTCTATGAAAAGAAAGGTTAAACTCTGTGAGTTGAACGCACACATCACAAAGTAGTTGTTGAGAATGATTCTGTGTAGTTTTTATACGAAGATATTTCCTTTTCTGCCATAGGCCTAGAAGCGCTTGCAATCTGCACTTGCAAATTCCAAAAACAGAGTGTTTCAAATCTGCTCTCTCTAAAGGAAGTTTCAAATCTGTGAGTTGAATACAAACAACACAAAGAAGTTACTGAGAATACTTCTGTCTAGCATTATATGAGGAAATCCCGTTTCCAACGAAGGGCTCATAGAGGGACAATTATCCACCTGCAGACTTACAAAGAGTGCATTTCCAAACTGCTCGATTAAAGAAAGGTTAAACTCTGTGAGTTGAACACACACATCACAAAGTGTTTTCTGAGAATGATTTTGTCTAGTTTTAATACGAAGATATATCCTTTTCTATCACTGTCTTCGAAGCGTTTGAAATCTGCACTAGCAAATTCCACAGAAAGAGTGTTTCAACTCTGCTCTCTCTCAAGAAAGGTTCAACTCTGTGAGTGGAATACACACAACACAAAGAAGTTACAGAGAATTCTTCTGTCTAGCGTTACATGAAGAAATCCCGTTTCCAACGAAGGCCTCAAAGAGGTCCAAATATCCACTTGCAGACTTTACAAATAGAGTGTTTCCAAAATGCTCTATGAAAAGAAAGGTTAAACTCTGTGAGTTGAAGGCACACATCACAAACTAGTTTCTGCGAATGACTCTGTGTACTTTTAATATGAAGATATTTCCATGTCTAAGATTGGCGTCAAATCGCTTGAAATCTCCACTTGCAAATTCCACAAAAAGAGTGTTTCAAAACTGCTCTGAATAAAGGAAGGTTCCACTCTGTGAGTTGAATACACACAACACAAAGGATTTACTGAGAATTCTTCTGTCTAGCAGTAAATGAGAAATCCCGCTTCCAACGAAGTCCTCAAAGGGGTCTAACTAATCACTTGCAGACTTTACAGACAGAGTCTTTCCAAACTGCTCTATGAAGAGAAAGGTGAAACTCTGTGAACTGAACGCACAGATGACAAAGCAGTTTACTGAGAATGATTCTGTGTAGTTTTTACACGAAGATATTTCCATTTCAAAGATTAGCCTCAAATCGCTTGAAATCTCCACTTGCAAATTACACAGAAAGAATTTTTCAAAACTGCTCTGTCTAAAGGAAGGTTCAACTCTGTGACTTGAATACACACAACACAAAGAAGTGACTGAGAATTCTTCTGTCTAGCATTATATGAAGAAATCCCGTTTCCAACGAAGGCCTCAATGAAGTCCAAAAAAGCACTTGCAGGCTTTACAAACAGAGTGTTTCCAAACTGCTCTATGAAAAGAAAGGTTAAACTCTGTGAGTTGAACGCACACATCACAAAGTAGTTGTTGAGAATGATTCTGTGTAGTTTTTATACGAAGATATTTCCTTTTCTGCCATAGGCCTAGAAGCGCTTGAAATCTGCACTTGCAAATTCCAAAAACAGAGTGTTTCAACTCTGCTCTCTCTAAAGAAAGGTTCAACTCTGTGAGTTGAATACACACAACACAAAGAAGTTACTGAGAATTCTTCTGTCTAGCGTTGTATGAAGAAATCCCGTTTCCAACGAAGGCCTCAATGAAGTCCAAAAAAGCACTTGCAGGCTTTACAAACAGAGTGTTTCCAAACTGCTCTATGAAAAGAAAGGTTAAACTCTGTGAGTTGAACACACACATCACAAAGAGTTTTCTGAGAATGATTTTGTCTACTTTTAATACGAAGATATATCCTTTTCTATCACTGTCTTCGAAGCGTTTGAAATCTACACTAGCAAATTCCACAAAAAGAGTGTTTCACCTCTGCTCCCTCTAAAGAAAGGTTCAACTCTGTGAGTTGAATACACACAACACAAAGAAGTTACTGAGAATTCTTCTGTCTAGCGTTATATGAAGAAATCCCGTTTCCAACGAAGGCCTCAAAGAGGTCCAAATATCCACTTGCAGACTTTACAAATAGAGTGTTTCCCAACTGCTCTATGAAAAGAAAGGTTAAACTCTGTGAGTTGAAGGCACACATCACAAACTAGTTTCTACGAATGACTCTGTGTACTTTTAATATGAAGATATTTCCATGTCTAAGATTGGCGTCAAATCGCTTGAAATCTCCACTTGCAAATTCCACAAAAAGAGTGTTTCAAAACTGCTCTGAATAAAGGAAGGTTCCACTCTGTGAGTTGAATACACACAACACAAAGGATTTACTGAGAATTCTTCTGTCTAGCAGTAAATGAGAAATCCCGCTTCCAACGAAGGCCTCAAAGGGGTCTAACTAATCACTTGCAGACTTTACAGACAGAGTCTTTCCAAACTGCTCTATGAAGAGAAAGGTGAAACTCTGTGAACTGAACGCACAGATGACAAAGCAGTTTCTGAGAATGATTCTGTGTAGTTTTTACACGAAGATATTTCCATTTCAAAGATTAGCCTCAAATCGCTTGAAATCTCCACTTGCAAACTCCACAGAAAGAATTTTTCAAAACTGCTCTGTCTAAAGGAAGGTTCAACTCTGTGACTTGAATACACACAACACAAAGAAGTGACTGAGAATTCTTCTGTCTAGCATTATATGAAGAAATCCCGTTTCCAACGAAGGCCTCAATGAAGTCCAAAAAAGCACTTGCAGGCTTTACAGAGTGTTTCCAAACTGCTCTATGAAAAGAAAGGTTAAACTCTGTGAGTTGAACGCACACATCACAAAGTAGTTGTTGAGAATGATTCTGTGTAGTTTTTATACGAAGATATTTCCTTTTCTGCCATAGGCCTAGAAGCGCTTGAAATCTGCACTTGCAAATTCCAAAAACAGAGTGTTTCAAATCTGCTCTCTCTAAAGGAAGGTTCAAATCTGTGTGTTGAATACAAACAACACAAAGAAGTTACTGAGAATTCTTCTGTCTAGCATTATAAGAGGAAATCCCGTTTCCAAAGAAGGGCTCAAAGAGGGCCAAATATCCACCTGCAGACTTACAAAGAGTGTATTTCCAAACTGCTCGATTAAAGAAAGGTTAAACTCTGTGAGTTGAACACACACATCACAAAGAGTTTTCTGAGAATGATTTTGTCTACTTTTAATACGAAGATATATCCTTTTCTATCACTGACTTCGAAGCGTTTGAAATCTACACTAGCAAATTCCACAAAAAGACTGTTTCACCTCTGCTCCCTCTAAAGAAAGGTTCAACTCTGTGAGTTGAATACACACAACACAAAGAAGTTACTGAGAATTCTTCTGTCTAGCGTTATATGAAGAAATCCCGTTTCCAACGAAGGCCTCAAAGAGGTCCAAATATCCACTTGCAGACTTTACAAATAGAGTGTTTCCCAACTGCTCTATGAAAAGAAAGGTTAAACTCTGTGAGTTGAAGGCACACATCACAAACTAGTTTCTACGAATGACTCTGTGTACTTTTAATATGAAGATATTTCCATGTCTAAGATTGGCGTCAAATCGCTTGAAATCTCCACTTGCAAATTCCACAAAAAGACTGTTTCAAAACTGCTCTGAATAAAGGAAGGTTCCACTCTGTGAGTTGAATACACACAACACAAAGGATTTACTGAGAATTCTTCTGTCTAGCAGTAAATGAGAAATCCCGCTTCCAACGAAGGTCTCAAAGGGGTCTAACTAATCACTTGCAGACTTTACAGACAGAGTCTTTCCAAACTGCTCTATGAAGAGAAAGGTGAAACTCTGTGAACTGAACGCACAGATGACAAAGCAGTTTCTGAGAATGATTCTGTGTAGTTTTTACACGAAGATATTTCCATTTCAAAGATTAGCCTCAAATCGCTTGAAATCTCCACTTGCAAATTCCACAGAAAGAATTTTTCAAAACTGCTCTGTCTAAAGGAAGGTTCAACTCTGTGACTTGAATACACACAACACAAAGAAGTGACTGAGAATTCTTCTGTCTAGCGTTATATGAAGAAATCCCGTTTCCAACGAAGGCCTCAATGAAGTCCAAAAAAGCACTTGCAGGCTTTACAAACAGAGTGTTTCCAAACTGCTCTATGAAAAGAAAGGTTAAACTCTGTGAGTTGAACGCACACATCACAAAGTAGTTGTTGAGAATGATTCTGTGTAGTTTTTATACGAAGATATTTCCTTTTCTGCCATAGGCCTAGAAGCGCTTAAAATCTGCACTTGCAAATTCCAAAAACAGAGTGTTTCAAATCTGCTCTCTCTAAAGGAAGGTTCAAATCAGTGAGTTGAATACAAACAACACAAAGAAGTTACTGAGAATTCTTCTGTCTAGCGTTATATGAAGAAATCCCGTTTCCAACGAACACCTCAAAGAGGTCCAAATATCCACTTGCAGACTTTACAAATAGAGTGTTTCCAAACTGCTCTATGAAAAGAAAGGTTAAACTCTGTGAGTTGAAGGCACACATCACAAACTAGTTTCTACGAATGACTCTGTGTACTTTTAATTTGAAGATATTTCCATGTCTAAGATTGGCGTCAAATCGCTTGAAATCTCCACTTGCAAATTGCACAAAAAGAGTGTTTCAAAACTGCTCTGAATAAAGGAAGGTTCCACTCTGTGAGTTGAATACACACAACACAAAGGATTTACTGAGAATTCTTCTGTCTAGCAGTAAATGAGAAATCCCGCTTCCAACGAAGGCCTCAAAGGGGTCTAACTAATCACTTGCAGACTTTACAGACAGAGTCTTTCCAAACTGCTCTATGAAGAGAAAGGTGAAACTCTGTGAACTGAACGCACAGATGACAAAGCAGTTTCTGAGAATGATTCTGTGTAGTTTTTACACGAAAGATATTTCCATTTCAAAGATTAGCCTCAAATCGCTTGAAATCTCCACTTGCAAACTCCACAGAAAGAATTTTTCAAAACTGCTCTGTCTAAAGGAAGGTTCAACTCTGTGACTTGAATACACACAACACAAAGAAGTGACTGAGAATTCTTCTGTCTAGCATTATATGAGGAAATTCCGTTTCCAACGAAGGGCTCAAAGAGGGACAATTATCCACCTGCAGACTTACATAGAGTGTATTTCCAAACTGCTCGATTAAAGAAAGGTTAAACTCTGTGAGTTGAACACACACATCACAAAGTGTTTTCTGAGAATGATTTTGTCTAGTTTTAATACGAAGATATATCCTTTTCTATCACTGTCTTCGAAGCGTTTGAAATCTGCACTAGCAAATTCCACAAAAAGAGTGTTTCAACTCTGCTCTCTCTAAAGAAAGGTTCAACTCTGTGAGTTGAATACACACAACACAAAGAAGTTACTGAGAATTCTTCTGTCTAGCGTTATATGAAGAAATCCCGTTTCCAACGAAGACCTCAAAGAAGTCCAAATATCCACTTGCAGACTTTACAAATAGAGTGTTTCCCAAATGCTCTATGAAAAGAAAGGTTAAACTCTGTGAGTTGAAGGCACACATCACAAACTAGTTTCTACGAATGACTCTGTGTACTTTTAATATGAAGATATTTCCATGTCTAAGATTGGCGTCAAATCGCTTGAAATCTCCACTTGCAAATTCCACAAAAAGAGTGTTTCAAAACTGCTCTGAATAAAGGAAGGTTCCACTCTGTGAGTTGAATACACACAACACAAAGGATTTACTGAGAATTCTTCTGTCTAGCAGTAAATGAAAAAATCCCGCTTCCAATGAAGTCCTCAAAGGGGTCCAAGTAATCACTTGCAGACTTTACAGAGTCTTTCCAAACTGCTCTATGAAAAGAAAGGTGGAACTCTGTGAGCTGAACGCACACATAACAAAGCAGTTTCTGAGAATGATTCTGTGTAGTTTTTACACGAAGATATTTCCATTTCAAAGATTAGCCTCAAATCGCTTGAAATCTCCACTTGCAAATTCCACAGAAAGAGTTTTTCAAAACTGCTCTGTGTAAAGGAAGGTTCAACTCTGTGACTTGAATACACACAACACAAAGAAGTGACTGAGAATTCTTCTGTCTAGCATTATATGAAGAAATCCCGTTTCCAACGAAGGCCTCAAAGAAGTCCAAATAAGCACCTGCAGACTTTACAAACAGAGTGTTTCCAAACTGCTCTATGAAAAGAAAGGTTAAACTCTGTGATTTGAACGCACACATCACAAAGTAGTTGTTGAGAATGATTCTGTGTAGTTTTTATACGAAGATATTTCCTTTTCTGCCATAGGCCTAGAAGCGCTTGCAATCTGCACTTGCAAATTCCACAAACAGAGTGTTTCAAATCTGCTCTCTCCAAAGGAAGGTTCAAATCTGTGAGTTGAATACAAACAACACAAAGAAGTTACTGAGAATTCTTCTGTCTAGCATTATAAGAGGAAATCCCGTTTCCAACGAAGGGCTCATAGAGGGACAATTATCCAGCTGCAGACTTACAAAGAGTGTATTTCCAAACTGCTCGATTAAAGAAAGGTTAAACTCTGTGAGTTGAACACACACATCACAAAGTGTTTTCTGAGAATGATTTTGTCTAGTTTTAATACGAAGATATATCCTTTTCTATCACTGTCTTCGAAGCGTTTGAAATCTGCACTAGCAAATTCCACAAACAGAGTGTTTCAACTCTGCTCTCTCTCAAGAAAGGTTCAACTCTGTGAGTGGAATACACACAACACAAAGAAGTTACTGAGAATTCTTCTGTCTAGCGTTACATGAAGAAATCCCGTTTCCAACGAAGGCCTCAAAGAGGTCCAAATATCCACTTGCAGACTTTACAAATAGAGTGTTTCCAAAATGCTCTATGAAAAGAAAGGTTAAACTCTGTGAGTTGAAGGCACACATCACAAACTAGTTTCTGCGAATGACTCTGTGTACTTTTAATACGAAGATGTTTCCATGTCTAAGATTGGCGTGAATTCGCTTGAAATCTCCACTTGCAAATTCCACAAAAAGAGTGTTTCAAAACTGCTCTGAATAAAGGAAGGTTCCACTCTGTGAGTTGAATACACACAACACAAAGGATTTACTGAGAATTCTTCTGTCTAGCAGTAAATGAAAAAATCCCGCTTCCAACGAAGTCCTCAAAGGGGTCCAAGTAATCACTTGCAGACTTTACAGACAGAGTCTTTCCAAACTGCTCTATGAAAAGAAAGGTGGAACTCTGTGAGCTGAACGCACACATAACAAAGCAGTTTCTGAGAATGATTCTGTGTAGTTTTTACACGAAGCTATTTCCATTTCAAAGATTAGCCTCAAATCGCTTGAAATCTCCACTTGCAAATTCCACAGAAAGAGTTTTTCAAAACTGCTCTGTGTAAAGGAAGGTTCAACTCTGTGACTTGAATACACAAAACACAAAGAAGTGACTGAGAATTCTTCTGTCTAGCACTATATGAGGAAATCCCGTTTCCAACGAAGGGCTCAAAGAGGGCCAATTATCCACTTGCAGACTTTACAAAGAGTGTATTTCCAAACTGCTCGATTAAAGAAAGGTTAAATTCTGTGAGTTGAACACACACATCACAAAGTGTTTTCTGAGAATGATTTTGTCTAGTTTTAATATGAAGATATATCCTTTTCCATCATCGTCTTCGAAGCGTTTGAAATCTGCACTAGCAAATTCCACAAAAAGAGTGTTTCAAATCTGCTCTCTCTAAAGAAAGGTTCAACTCTGTGAGTTGAATACACACAACACAAAGAAGTTACTGAGAATTCTTCTGTCTAGCATTATATGAAGAAATCCCGTTTCCAATGAAGGCGTCAAAGAGGTCCAAATATCCACTTGCAGACTTTACAAATAGAGTGTTTCCAAACTGCTCTATGAAAAGAAAGTTAAATTCTGTGAATTGAAGGCACACATCACAATCTAGTTTCTGCGAATGACTCTGTGTACTTTAAATACGAAGATATTTCCACGTCTAAGATTGGTGTGAAATCTCTTCAAATGTTCACTTGCAAATTCCACAAAAAGAGTGTTTCAAAACTGCTCTGAATAAAGGAAAGTTCAACTCTGTGAGTTGAATACACACAACACAAAGGATTTACTGAGAATTCTCTGTCTAGCAGTAAATGAAAAAATCCCGCTTCCAACGAAGTCCTCAAAGGGGTCCAAGTAATCACTTGCAGACTTTACAGACAGAGTCTTTCCAAACTGCTCTATGAAAAGAAAGGTGGAACTCTGTGAGCTGAACGCACACATAACAAAGCAGTTTCTGAGAATGATTCTGTGTAGTTTTTACACGAAGATATTTCCATTTCAAAGATTAGCCTCAAATCGCTTGAAATCTCCACTTGCAAATTCCACAGAAAGAGTTTTTCAAAACTGCTCTGTGTAAAGGAAGGTTCAACTACTGTGACTTGAATACACACAACACAAAGAAGTGACTGAGAATTCTTCTCTCTAGCATTATATGAAGAAATCCCGTTTCCAACGAAGGCCTCAAAGAAGTCCAAATAAGCACCTGCAGACTTTACAAACAGAGTGTTTCCAAACTGCTCTATGAAAAGAAAGGTTAAACTCTGTGAGTTGAACGCACACATCACAAAGTAGTTGTTGAGAATGATTCTGTGTAGTTTTTATACGAAGATATTTCCTTTTCTGCCATAGGCCTAGAAGCGCTTGCAATCTGCACTTGCAAATTCCAAAAACAGAGTGTTTCAAATCTGCTCTCTCCAAAGGAAGGTTCAAATCTGTGAGTTGAATACAAACAACACAAAGAAGTTACTGAGAATTCTTCTGTCTAGCATTATATGAGGAAATCCCGTTTCCAACGAAGGGCTCATAGAGGGACAATTATCCAGCTGCAGACTTACAAAGAGTGTATTTCCAAACTGCTCGATTAAAGAAAGGTTAAACTCTGTGAGTTGAACACACACATCACAAAGTGTTTTCTGAGAATGATTTTGTCTAGTTTTAATACGAAGATATATCCTTTTCTATCACTGTCTTCGAAGCGTTTGAAATCTGCACTAGCAAATTCCACAAACAGAGTGTTTCAACTCTGCTCTCTCTCAAGGAAGCTTCAACTCTGTGAGTGGAATACACACAACACAAAGAAGTTACTGAGAATTCTTCTGTCTAGCGTTATATGAAGAAATCCCGTTTCCAACGAAGGCCTCAAAGAGGTCCAAATATCCACTTGCAGACTTTACAAATAGAGTGTTTCCAAACTGCTCTATGAAAAGAAAGGTTAAACTCTGTGAGTTGAAGGCACACATCACAAACTAGTTTCTGCGAATGACTCTGTGTACTTTTAATACGAAGATGTTTCCATGTCTAAGATTGGCGTGAATTCGCTTGAAATCTCCACTTGCAAATTCCACAAAAAGAGTGTTTCAAAACTGCTCTGAATAAAGGAAGGTTCCACTCTGTGAGTTGAATACACCCAACACGAAGGATTTACTGAGAATTCTTCTGTCTAGCAGTAAATGAAAAAATCCCGCTTCCAACGAAGTCCTCAAAGGGGTCCAAGTAATCACTTGCAGACTTTACAGACAGAGTCTTTCCAAACTGCTCTATGAAAAGAAAGGTGGAACTCTGTGAGCTGAACGCACACATAACAAAGCAGTTTCTGACAATGATTCTGTGTAGTTTTTACACGAAGATATTTCCATTTCAAAGATTAGCCTCAAATCGCTTGAAATCTCCACTTGCAAATTCCACAGAAAGAGTTTTTCAAAACTGCTCTGTGTAAAGGAAGGTTCAACTCTGTGACTTGAATACACACAACACAAAGAAGTGACTGAGAATTCTTCTGTCTAGCATTATATGAAGAAATCCCGTTTCCAACGAAGGCCTCAAAGAAGTCCAAATAAGCACCTGCAGACTTTACAAACAGAGTGTTTCCAAACTGCTCTATGAAAAGAAAGGTTAAACTCTGTGAGTTGAACGCACACATCACAAAGTAGTTGTTGAGAATGATTCTGTGTAGTTTTTATACGAAGATATTTCCTTTTCTGCCATAGGCCTAGAAGCGCTTGCAATCTGCACTTGCAAATTCCAAAAACAGAGTGTTTCAAATCTGCTCTCTCTAAAGGAAGGTTCAAATCTGTGAGTTGAATACAAACAACACAAAGAAGTTACTGAGAATTCTTCTGTCTAGCATTATAAGAGGAAATCCCGTTTCCAACGAAGGGCTCATAGAGGGACAATTATCCAGCTGCAGACTTACAAAGAGTGTATTTCCAAACTGCTCGATTAAAGAAAGGTTAAACTCTGTGAGTTGAACACACACATCACAAAGTGTTTTCTGAGAATGATTTTGTCTAGTTTTAATACGAAGATATATCCTTTTCTATCACTGTCTTCGAAGCGTTTGAAATCTGCACTAGCAAATTCCACAGAAAGAGTGTTTCAACTCTGCTCTCTCTCAAGAAAGGTTCAACTCTGTGAGTTGAATACACACAACACAAAGAAGTTACTGAGAATTCTTCTGTCTAGCGTTATATGAAGAAATCCCGTTTCCAACGAAGGCCTCAAAGAGGTCCAAATATCCACTTACAGACTTTACAGATAGAGTGTTTCCAAACTGCTCTATGAAAAGAAAGGTTAAACTCCGTGAGTTGAAGGCACACATCACAAACTAGTTTCTGCGAATGACTCTGTGTACTTTTAATACGAAGATGTTTCCATGTCTAAGATTGGCGTGAATTCGCTTGAAATCTGCACTTGCAAATTCCACAAAAAGAGTGTTTCAAAAGTGCTCTGAATAAAGGAAGGTTCCACTCTGTGAGTTGAATACACACAACACAAAGGATTTACTGAGAATTCTTCTGTCTAGCAGTAAATGAAAAAATCCCGCTTCCAACGAAGTCCTCAAAGGGGTCCAAGTAATCACTTGCAGACTTTACAGACAGAGTCTTTCCAAACTGCTCTATGAAAAGAAAGGTGGAACTCTGTGAGCTGAACGCACACATAACAAAGAAGTTTCTGAGAATGATTCTGTGTAGTTTTTACACGAAGATATTTCCATTTCAAAGATTAGCCTCAAATCGCTTGAAATCTCCACTTGCAAATTCCACAGAAAGAGTTTTTCAAAACTGCTCTGTGTAAAGGAAGGTTCAACTCTGTGACTTGAATACACACAACACAAAGAAGTGACTGAGAATTCTTCTGTCTAGCATTATATGAAGAAATCCCGTTTCCAACGAAGGCCTCAAAGAAGTCCAAATAAGCACCTGCAGACTTTACAAACAGAGTGTTTCCAAACTGCTCTATGAAAAGAAAGGTTAAACTCTGTGAGTTGAACGCACACATCACAAAGTAGTTGTTGAGAATGATTCTGTGTAGTTTTTATACGAAGATATTTCCTTTTCTGCCATAGGCCTAGAAGCGCTTGTAATCTGCACTTGCAAATTCCGAAACCAGAGTGTTTCAAATCTGCTCTCTCTAAAGGAAGGTTCAAATCTGTGAGTTGAATACAAACAACACAAAGAAGTTACTGAGAATTCTTCTGTCTAGCATTATATGAGGAAATCCCGTTTCCAACGAAGGGCTCATAGAGGGACAATTATCCAGCTGCAGACTTACAAAGAGTGTATTTCCAAACTGCTCGATTAAAGAAAGGTTAAACTCTGTGAGTTGAACACACACATCACAAAGTGTTTTCTGAGAATGATTTTGTCTAGTTTTAATACGAAGATATATCCTTTTCTATCACTGTCTTCGAAGCGTTTGAAATCGGCACTAGCAAATTCCACAAACAGAGTGTTTCAACTCTGCTCTCTCTCAAGAAAGGTTCAACTCTGTGAGTGGAATACACACAACACAAAGAAGTTACTGAGAATTCTTCTGTCTAGCGTTATATGAAGAAATCCCGTTTCCAACGAAGGCCTCAAAGACGTCCAAATATCCACTTGCAGACTTTACAAATAGAGTGTTTCCAAACTGCTCTATGAAAAGAAAGGTTAAACTCCGTGAGTTGAAGGCACACATCACAAACTAGTTTCTGCGAATGACTCTGTGTACTTTTAATACGAAGATGTTTCCATGTCTAAGATTGGCGTGAATTCGCTTGAAATCTCCACTTGCAAATTCCACAAAAAGAGTGTTTCAAAACTGCTCTGAATAAAGGAAGGTTCCACTCTGTGAGTTGAATACACACAACACAAAGGATTTACTGAGAATTCTTCTGTCTAGCAGTAAATGAAAAAATCCCGCTTCCAACGAAGTCCTCAAAGGGGTCCAAGTAATCACTTGCAGACTTTACAGACAGAGTCTTTCCAAACTGCTCTATGAAAAGAAAGGTGGAACTCTGTGAGCTGAACGCACACATAACAAAGCAGTTTCTGAGAATGATTCTGTGTAGTTTTTACACGAAGATATTTCCATTTCAAAGATTAGCCTCAAATCGCTTGAAATCTCCACTTGCAAATTCCACAGAAAGAGTTTTTCAAAACTGCTCTGTGTAAAGGAAGGTTCAACTCTGTGACTTGAATACACACAACACAAAGAAGTGACTGAGAATTCTTCTGTCTAGCATTTTATGAAGAAATCCCGTTTCCAACGAAGGCCTCAAAGAAGTCCAAATAAGCACCTGCAGACTTTACAAACAGAGTGTTTCCAAACTGCTCTATGAAAAGAAAGGTTAAACTCTGTGAGTTGAACGCACACATCACAAAGTAGTTGTTGAGAACGATTCTGTGTAGTTTTTATACGAAGATATTTAATTTTCTGCCATAGGCCTAGAAGCGCTTGCAATCTGCACTTGCAAATTCCAAAAACAGAGTGTTTCAAATCTGCTCTCTCCAAAGGAAGGTTCAAATCTGTGAGTTGAATACAAACAACACAAAGAAGTTACTGAGAATTCTTCTGTCTAGCATTATAAGAGGAAATCCCGTTTCCAACGAAGGGCTCATAGAGGGACAATTATCCAGCTGCAGACTTACAAAGAGTGTATTTCCAAACTGCTCGATTAAAGAAAGGTTAAACTCTGTGAGTTGAACACACACATCACAAAGTGTTTTCTGAGAATGATTTTGTCTAGTTTTAATACGAAGATATATCCTTTTCTATCACTGTCTTCGAAGCGTTTGAAATCTGCACTAGCAAATTCCACAAACAGAGTGTTTCAACTCTGCTCTCTCTCAAGAAAGGTTCAACTCTGTGAGTGGAATACACACAACACAAAGAAGTTACTGAGAATTCTTCTGTCTAGCGTTATATGAAGAAATCCCGTTTCCAACGAAGGCCTCAAAGAGGTCCAAATATCCACTTGCAGACTTTACAAATAGAGTGTTTCCAAACTGCTCTATGAAAAGAAAGGTTAAACTCCGTGAGTTGAAGGCACACATCACAAACTAGTTTCTGCGAATGACTCTGTGTACTTTTAATATGAAGATATTTCCATGTCTAAGCATTGGCGTCAAATCGCTTGAAATCTCCACTTGCAAATTCCACAAAAAGTGTTTTTCAAAACTGCTCTGAATAAAGGAAGGTTCCACTCTGTGAGTTGAATACACACAACACAAAGGATTTACTGAGAATTCTTCTGTCTAGCAGTAAATGAAAAAATCCCGCTTCCAACGAAGTCCTCAAAGGGGTCCAAGTAATCACTTGCAGACTTTACAGACAGAGTCTTTCCAAACTGCTCTATGAATAGAAAGGTGAAACTCTGTGAGCTGAACGCACACATAACAAAGCAGTTTCTGAGAATGATTCTGTGTAGTTTTTACACGAAGATATTTCCATTTCAAAGATTAGCCTCAAATCGCTTGAAATCTCCACTTGCAAATTCCACAGAAAGAGTTTTTCAAAACTGCTCTGTGTAAAGGAAGGTTCAACTCTGTGACTTGAATACACACAACACAAAGAAGTGACTGAGAATTCTTCTGTTTAGCATTATATGAAGAAATCCCGTTTCCAACGAAGGCCTCAAAGAAGTCCAAATAAGCACCTGCAGACTTTACAAACAGAGTGTTTCCAAACTGCTCTATGAAAAGAAAGGTTAAACTCTGTGAGTTGAACGCACACATCACAAAGTAGTTGTTGAGAATGATTCTGTGTAGTTTTTATACGAAGATATTTCCTTTTCTGCCATAGGCCTAGAAGCGCTTGAAATCTGCACTTGCAAATTCCAAAAACAGAGTGTTTCAAATCTGCTCTCTCCAAAGGAAGGTTCAAATCTGTGAGTTGAATACAAACAACACAAAGAAGTTACTGAGAATTCTTCTGTCTAGCATTATATGAGGAAATCCCGTTTCCAACGAAGGGCTCATAGAGGGACAATTATCCAGCTGCAGACTTACAAAGAGTGTATTTCCAAACTGCTCGATTAAAGAAAGGTTAAACTCTGTGAGTTGAACACACACATCACAAAGTGTTTTCTGAGAATGATTTTGTCTAGTTTAAATACGAAGATATATCCTTTTCTATCACTGTCTTCGAAGCGTTTGAAATCTGCACTAGCAAATTCCACAAACAGAGTGTTTCAACTCTGCTCTCTCTCAAGAAAGGTTCAACTCTGTGAGTGGAATACACACAACACAAAGAAGTTACTGAGAATTCTTCTGTCTAGCGTTATATGAAGAAATCCCGTTTCCAACGAAGGCCTCAAAGAGGTCCAAATATCCACTTGCAGACTTACAAATAGAGTGTTTCCAAACTGCTCTATGAAAAGAAAGGTTAAACTCCGTGAGTTGAAGGCACACATCACAAACTAGTTTCTGCGAATGACTCTGTGTACTTTTAATACGAAGATGTTTCCATGTCTAAGATTGGCGTGAATTCGCTTGAAATCTCCACTTGCAAATTCCACAAAAAGAGTGTTTCAAAACTGCTCTGAATAAAGGAAGGTTCCACTCTGTGAGTTGAATACACACAACACAAAGGATTTACTGAGAATTCTTCTGTCTAGCAGTAAATGAAAAAATCCCGCTTCCAAAGAAGTCCTCAAAGGGGTCCAAGTAATCACTTGCAGACTTTACAGACAGAGTCTTTCCAAACTGCTCTATGAAAAGAAAGGTGGAACTCTGTGAGCTGAACGCACACATAACAAAGCAGATTCTGAGAATGATTCTGTGTAGTTTTTACACGAAGATATTTCCATTTCAAAGATTAGCCTCAAATCGCTTGAAATCTCCACTTGCAAATTCCACAGAAAGAGTTTTTCAAAACTGCTCTGTGTAAAGGAAGGTTCAACTCTGTGACTTGAATACACACAACACAAAGAAGTGACTGAGAATTCTTCTGTCTAGCATTATATGAAGAAATCCCGTTTCCAACGAAGGCCTCAAAGAAGTCCAAATAAGCACCTGCAGACTTTACAAACAGAGTGTTTCCAAACTGCTCTATGAAAAGAAAGGTTAAACTCTGTGAGTTGAACGCACACATCACAAAGTAGTTGTTGAGAATGATTCTGTGTAGTTTTTATACGAAGATATTTCCTTTTCTGCCATAGGCCTAGAAGCGCTTGTAATCTGCACTTGCAAATTCCAAAAACAGAGTGTTTCAAATCTGCTCTCTCTAAAGGAAGGTTCAAATCTGTGAGTTGAATACAAACAATACAAAGAAGTTACTGTGAATTCTTCTGTCTAGCATTATAAGAGGAAATCCCGTTTCCAACGAAGGGCTCATAGAGGGACAATTATCCAGCTGCAGACTTACAAAGAGTGTATTTCCAAACTGCTCGATTAAAGAAAGGTTAAACTCTGTGAGTTGAACACACACATCACAAAGTGTTTTCTGAGAATGATTTTGTCTAGTTTTAATACGAAGATATATCCTTTTCTATCACTGTCTTCGAAGCGTTTGAAATCTGCACTAGCAAATTCCACAAACAGAGTGTTTCAACTCTGCTCTCTCTCAAGAAAGGTTCAACTCTGTGAGTTGAATACACACAACACAAAGAAGTTACTGAGAATTCTTCTGTCTAGCGTTATATGAAGAAATCCCGTTTCCAACGAAGGCCTCAAAGAGGTCCAAATATCCACTTGCAGACTTTACAAATAGAGTGTTTCCAAACTGCTCTATGAAAAGAAAGGTTAAACTCCGTGAGTTGAAGGCACACATCACAAACTAGTTTCTGCGAATGACTCTGTGTACTTTTAATACGAAGATGTTTCCATGTCTAAGATTGGCGTGAATTCGCTTGAAATCTCCACTTGCAAATTCCACAAAAAGAGTGTTTCAAAAGTGCTCTGAATAAAGGAAGGTTCCACTCTGTGAGTTGAATACACACAACACAAAGGATTTACTGAGAATTCTTCTGTCTAGCAGTAAATGAAAAAATCCCGCTTCCAACGAAGTCCTCAAAGGGGTCCAAGTAATCACTTGCAGACTTTACAGACAGAGTCTTTCCAAACTGCTCTATGAAAAGAAAGGTGGAACTCTGTGAGCTGAACGCACACATAACAAAGCAGTTTCTGAGAATGATTCTGTGTGGTTTTTACACGAAGCTATTTCCATTTCAAAGATTAGCCTCAAATCGCTTGAAATCTCCACTTGCAAATTCCACAGAAAGAGTTTTTCAAAACTGCTCTGTGTAAAGGAAGGTTCAACTCTGTGACTTGAATACACACAACACAAAGAAGTGACTGAGAATTCTTCTGTCTAGCATTACATGAAGAAATCCCGTTTCCAACGAAGGCCTCAAAGAAGTCCAAATAAGCACCTGCAGACTTTACAAACAGAGTGTTTCCAAACTGCTCTATGAAAAGAAAGGTTAAACTCTGTGAGTTGAACGCACACATCACAAAGTAGTTGTTGAGAATGATTCTGTGTAGTTTTTATACGAAGATATTTCCTTTTCTGCCATAGGCCTAGAAGCGCTTGTAATCTGCACTTGCAAATTCCAAAAACAGAGTGTTTCAAATCTGCTCTCTCCAAAGGAAGGTTCAAATCTGTGAGTTGAATACAAACAACACAAAGAAGTTACTGAGAATTCTTCTGTCTAGCATTATAAGAGGAAATCCCGTTTCCAACGAAGGGCTCATAGAGGGACAATTATCCAGCTGCAGACTTACAAAGAGTGTATTTCCAAACTGCTCGATTAAAGAAAGGTTAAACTCTGTGAGTTGAACACACACATCACAAAGTGTTTTCTGAGAATGATTTTGTCTAGTTTTAATACGAAGATATATCCTTTTCTATCACTGTCTTCGAAGGGTTTGAAATCGGCACTAGCAAATTCCACAAACAGAGTGTTTCAACTCTGCTCTCTTTCAAGAAAGGTTCAACTCTGTGAGTGGAATACACACAACACAAAGAAGTTACTGAGAATTCTTCTGTCTAGCATTATATGAGGAAATCCCGTTTCCAACGAAGGGCTCATAGAGGGACAATTATCCAGCTGCAGACTTACAAAGAGTGTATTTCCAAACTGCTCGATTAAAGAAAGGTTAAACTCTGTGAGTTGAACACACACATCACAAAGTGTTTTCTGAGAATGATTTTGTCTAGTTTTAATACGAAGATATATCCTTTTCTATCACTGTCTTCGAAGCGTTTGAAATCTGCACTAGCAAATTCCACAGAAAGAGTGTTTCAACTCTGCTCTCTCTCAAGAAAGGTTCAACTCTGTGAGTAGAATACACACAACACAAAGAAGTTACTGAGAATTCTTCTGTCTAGCGTTATATGAAGAAATCCCGTTTCCAACGAAGGCCTCAAAGAGGTCCAAATATCCACTTGCAGACTTTACAAATAGAGTGTTTCCAAACTGCTCTATGAAAAGAAAGGTTAAACTCCGTGAGTTGAAGGCACACATCACAAACTAGTTTCTGCGAATGACTCTGTGTACTTTTAATACGAAGATGTTTCCATGTCTAAGATTGGCGTGAATTCGCTTGAAATCTCCACCTGCAAATTCCACAAAAAGAGTGTTTCAAAAGTGTTCTGAATAAAGGAAGGTTCCACTCTGTGAGTTGAATACACACAACACAAAGGATTTACTGAGAATTCTTCTGTCTAGCAGTAAATGAAAAAATCCCGCTTCCAACGAAGTCCTCAAAGGGGTCCAAGTAATCACTTGCAGACTTTACAGACAGAGTCTTTCCAAACTGCTCTATGAAGAGAAAGGTGGAACTCTGTGAGCTGAACGCACACATAACAAAGCAGTTTCTGAGAATGATTCTGTGTAGTTTTTACACGAAGATATTTCCATTTCAAAGATTAGCCTAAAATCGCTTGACATCTCCACTTGCAAATTCCACAGAAAGAGTTTTTCAAAACTGCTCTGTGTAAAGGAAGGTTCAACTCTGTGACTTGAATACACACAACACAAAGAAGTGACTGAGAATTCTTCTGTCTAGCATTATATGAAGAAATCCCGTTTCCAACGAAGGCCTCAAAGAAGTCCAAATAAGCACCTGCAGACTTTACAAACAGAGTGTTTCGAAACTGCTCTATGAAAAGAAAGGTTAAACTCCGTGAGTTGAACGCACGCATCACAAACTAGTTTCTGCGAATGACTCTGTGTACTTTTAATACGAAGATGTTTCCATGTCTAAGATTGGCGTGAATTCGCTTGAAATCTCCACTTGCAAATTCCACAAAAAGAGTGTTTCAAAACTGCTCTGAATAAAGGAAGGTTCCACTCTGTGAGTTGAATACACACAACACAAAGGATTTACTGAGAATTCTTCTGTCTAGCAGTAAATGAAAAAATCCCGCTTCCAACGAAGTCCTCAAAGGGGTCCAAGTAATCACTTGCAGACTTTACAGACAGAGTCTTTCCAAACTGCTCTATGAAAAGAAAGGTGGAACTCTGTGAGCTGAACGCACACATAACAAAGCAGTTTCTGAGAATGATTCTGTGTAGTTTTTACACGAAGCTATTTCCATTCCAAAGATTAGCCTCAAATCGCTTGAAATCTCCACTTGCAAATTCCACAGAAAGAGTTTTTCAAAACTGCTCTGTGTAAAGGAAGGTTCAACTCTGTGACTTGAATACACACAACACAAAGAAGTGACTGAGAATTCTTCTGTCTAGCATTACATGAAGAAATCCCGTTTCCAACGAAGGCCTCAAAGAAGTCCAAATAAGCACCTGCAGACTTTACAAACAGAGTGTTTCCAAACTGCTCTATGAAAAGAAAGGTTAAACTCTGTGAGTTGAACGCACACATCACAAAGTAGTTGTTGAGAATGATTCTGTGTAGTTTTTATACGAAGATATTTCCTTTTCTGCCATAGGCCTAGAAGCGCTTGTAATCTGCACTTGCAAATTCCAAAAACAGAGTGTTTCAAATCTGCTCTCTCTAAAGGAAGGTTCAAATCTGTGAGTTGAATACAAACAACACAAAGAAGTTACTGAGAATTCTTCTGTCTAGCATTATAAGAGGACATCCCGTTTCCAACGAAGGGCTCATAGAGGGACAATTATCCAGCTGCAGACTTACAAAGAGTGTATTTCCAAACTGCTCGATTAAAGAAAGGTTAAACTCTGTGAGTTGAACACACACATCACAAAGTGTTTTCTGAGAATGATTTTGTCTAGTTTTAATACGAAGATATATCCTTTTCTATCACTGTCTTCGAAGCGTTTGAAATCTGCACTAGCAAATTCCACAAGCGGAGTGTTTCAACTCTGCTCTCTCTCAAGAAAGGTTCAACTCTGTGAGTGGAATACACACAACACAAAGAAGTTACTGAGAATTCTTCTGTCTAGCGTTATATGAAGAAATCCCGTTTCCAACGAAGGCCTCAAAGAGGTCCAAATATCCACTTGCAGACTTTACAAATAGAGTGTTTCCAAACTGCTCTATGAAAAGAAAGGTTAAACTCCGTGAGTTGAAGGCACACATCACAAACTAGTTTCTGCGAATGACTCTGTGTACTTTTAATACGAAGATGTTTCCATGTCTAAGATTGGCGTGAATTCGCTTGAAATCTCCACTTGCAATTTCCACAAAAAGAGTGTTTCAAAACTGCTCTGAATAAAGGAAGGTTCCACTCTGTGAGTTGAATACACACAACACAAAGGATTTACTGAGAATTCTTCTGTCTAGCAGTAAATGAAAAAATCCCGCTTCCAACGAAGTCCTCAAAGGGGTCCAAGTAATCACTTGCAGACTTTACAGACAGAGTCTTTCCAAACTGCTCTATGAAAAGAAAGGTGGAACTCTGTGAGCTGAACGCACACATAACAAAGCAGTTTCTGACAATGATTCTGTGTAGTTTTTACACGAAGCTATTTCCATTTCAAAGATTAGCCTCAAATCGCTTGAAATCTCCACTTGCAAATTCCACAGAAAGAGTTTTTCAAAACTGCTCTGTGTAAAGGAAGGTTCAACTCTGTGACTTGAATACACACAACACAAAGAAGTGACTGAGAATTCTTCTGTCTAGCATTACATGAAGAAATCCCGTTTCCAACGAAGGCCTCAAAGAAGTCCAAATAAGCACCTGCAGACTTTACAAACAGAGTGTTTCCAAACTGCTCTATGAAAAGAAAGGTTAAACTCTGTGAGTTGAACGCACACATCACAAAGTAGTTGTTGAGAATGATTCTGTGTAGTTTTTATACGAAGATATTTCCTTTTCTGCCATAGGCCTAGAAGCGCTTGTAATCTGCACTTGCAAATTCCAAAAACAGAGTGTTTCAAATCTGCTCTCTCTAAAGGAAGGTTCAAATCTGTGAGTTGAATACAAACAACACAAAGAAGTTACTGAGAATTCTTCTGTCTAGCATTATAAGAGGAAATCCTGTTTCCAACGAAGGGCTCATAGAGGGACAATTATCCAGCTGCAGACTTACAAAGAGTGTATTTCCAAACTGCTCGATTAAAGAAAGGTTAAACTCTGTGAGTTGAACACACACATCACAAAGTGTTTTCTGAGAATGATTTTGTCTAGTTTTAATACGAAGATATATCCTTTTCTATCACTGTCTTCGAAGCGTTTGAAATCTGCACTAGCAAATTCCACAAACAGAGTGTTTCAACTCTGCTCTCTCTCAAGAAAGGTTCAACTCTGTGAGTTGAATACACACAACACAAAGAAGTTACTGAGAATTCTTCTGTCTAGCGTTATATGAAGAAATCCCGTTTCCAACGAAGGCCTCAAAGAGGTCCAAATATCCACTTGCAGACTTTACAAATAGAGTGTTTCCAAACTACTCTATGAAAAGAAAGGTTAAACTCCGTGAGTTGAAGGCACACATCACAAACTAGTTTCTGCAAATGACTCTGTGTACTTTTAATACGAAGATGTTTCCATGTCTAAGATTGGCGTGAATTCGCTTGAAATCTCCACTTGCAAATTCCACAAAAAGAGTGTTTCAAAAGTGCTCTGAATAAAGGAAGGTTCCACTCTGTGAGTTGAATACACACAACACAAAGGATTTACTGAGAATTCTTCTGTCTAGCAGTAAATGAAAAAATCCCGCTTCCAACGAAGTCCTCAAAGGGGTCCAAGTAATCACTTGCAGACTTTACAGACAGAGTCTTTCCAAACTGCTCTATGAAAAGAAAGGTGGAACTCTGTGAGCTGAACGCACACATAACAAAGCAGTTTCTGAGAATGATTCTGTGTCGTTTTTACACGAAGCTATTTCCATTTCAAAGATTAGCCTCAAATCGCTTGAAATCTCCACTTGCAAATTCCACAGAAAGAGTTTTTCAAAACTGCTCTGTGTAAAGGAAGGTTCAACTCTGTGACTTGAATACACACAACACAAAGAAGTGACTGAGAATTCTTCTGTCTAGCATTACATGAAGAAATCCCGTTTCCAACGAAGGCCTCAAAGAAGTCCAAATAAGCACCTGCAGACTTTACAAACAGAGTGTTTCCAAACTGCTCTATGAAAAGAAAGGTTAAACTCTGTGAGTTGAACGCACACATCACAAAGTAGTTGTTGAGAATGATTCTGTGTAGTTTTTATACGAAGATATTTCCTTTTCTGCCATAGGCCTAGAAGCGCTTGTAATCTGCACTTGCAAATTCCAAAAACAGAGTGTTTCAAATCTGCTCTCTCTAAAGGAAGGTTCAAATCTGTGAGTTGAATACAAACAACACAAAGAAGTTACTGTGAATTCTTCTGTCTAGCATTATAAGAGGAAATCCCGTTTCCAACGAAGGGCTCATAGAGGGACAATTATCCAGCTGCAGATTTACAAAGAGTGTATTTCCAAACTGCTCGATTAAAGAAAGGTTAAACTCTGTGAGTTGAACACACACATCACAAAGTGTTTTCTGAGAATGATTTTGTCTAGTTTTAATACGAAGATATATCCTTTTCTATCACTGTCTTCGAAGCGTTTGAAATCTGCACTAGCAAATTCCACAGAAAGAGTGTTTCAACTCTGCTCTCTCTCAAGAAAGGTTCAACTCTGTGAGTTGAATACACACAACACAAAGAAGTTACTGAGAATTCTTCTGTCTAGCGTTATATGAAGAAATCCCGTTTCCAACGAAGGCCTCAAAGAGGTCCAAATATCCACTTGCAGACTTTACAGATAGAGTGTTTCCAAACTGCTCTATGAAAAGAAAGGTTAAACTCCGTGAGTTGAAGGCACACATCACAAACTAGTTTCTGCGAATGACTCTGTGTACTTTTAATACGAAGATGTTTCCATGTCTAAGATTGGCGTGAATTCGCTTGAAATCTCCACCTGCAAATTCCACAAAAAGAATGTTTCAAAACAGCTCTGAATAGAGGAAGGTTCCACTCTGTGAGTTGAATACACACAACACAAAGGATTTACTGAGAATTCTTCTGTCTAGCAGTAAATGAAAAAATCCCGCTTCCAACGAAGTCCTCAAAGGGGTCCAAGTAATCACTTGCAGACTTTACAGACAGAGTCTTTCCAAACTGCTCTATGAAAAGAAAGGTGGAACTCTGTGAGCTGAACGCACACATAACAAAGCAGTTTCTGACAATGATTCTGTGTAGTTTTTACACGAAGATATTTCCATTTCAAAGATTAGCCTCAAATCGCTTGAAATCTCCACTTGCAAACTCCACAGAAAGAACTTTTCAAAACTGCTCTGTCTAAAGGAAGGTTCAACTCTGTGACTTGAATACACACAACACAAAGAAGTGACTGAGAATTCTTCTGTCTAGCATTATATGAAGAAATCCCGTTTCCAACGAAGGCCTCAATGAAGTCCAAAAAAGCACTTGCAGGCTTTACAAACAGAGTGTTTCCAAACTGCTCTATGAAAAGAAAGGTTAAACTCTGTGAGTTGAACGCACACATCACAAAGTAGTTGTTGAGAATGATTCTGTGTAGTTTTTATACGAAGATATTTCCTTTTCTGCCATAGGCCTAGAATCGCTTGAAATCTGCGCTTGCAAATTCCAAAAACAGAGTGTTTCAACTCTGCTCTCTCTAAAGAAAGGTTCAACTCTGTGAGTTGAATACACACAACACAAAGAAGTTACTGAGAATTCTTCTGTCTAGCGTTGTATGAAGAAATCCCGTTTCCAACGAAGGCCTCAAAGAGGTCCAAATATCCACTTGCAGACTTTACAAATAGAGTGTTTCCAAACTGCTCTATGAAAAGAAAGGTTAAACTCTGTGAGTTGAAGGCACACATCACAAACTAGTTTCTACGAATGACTCTGTGTACTTTTAATATGAAGATATTTCCATGTCTAAGATTGGCGTCAAATCGCTTGAAATCTCCACTTGCAAATTCCACAAAAAGAGTGTTTCAAAACTGCTCTGAATAAAGGAAGGTTCCACTCTGTGAGTTGAATACACACAACACAAAGGATTTACTGAGAATTCTTCTGTCTAGCAGTAAATGAGAAATCCCGCTTCCAACGAAGGCCTCAAAGGGGTCTAACTAATCACTTGCAGACTTTACAGACAGAGTCTTTCCAAACTGCTCTATGAAGAGAAAGGTGAAACTCTGTGAACTGAACGCACAGATGACAAAGCAGTTTCTGAGAATGATTCTGTGTAGTTTTTACACGAAGATATTTCCATTTCAAAGATTAGCCTCAAATCGCTTGAAATCTCCACTTGCAAATTACACAGAAAGAATTTTTCAAAAGTGCTCTGTCTAAAGGAAGGTTCAACTCTGTGACTTGAATACACACAACACAAAGAAGTGACTGAGAATTCTTCTGTCTAGCATTACATGAAGAAATCCCGTTTCCAACGAAGGCCTCAATGAAGTCCAAAAAAGCACTTGCAGTCTTTACAAACAGAGTGTTTCCGAACTGCTCTATGAAAAGAAAGGTTAAACTCTGTGAGTTGAACGCACACATCACAAAGTAGTTGTTGAGAATGATTCTGTGTAGTTTTTATACGAAGATATTTCCTTTTCTGCCATAGGCCTAGAATCGCTTGAAATCTGCAGTTGCAAATTCCAAAAACAGAGTGTTTCAACTCTGCTCTCTCTAAAGAAAGGTTCAACTCTGTGAGTTGAATACACACAACACAAAGAAGTTACTGAGAATTCTTCTGTCTAGCGTTGTATGAAGAAATCCCGTTTCCAACGAAGGCCTCAAAGAGGTCCAAATATCCACTTGCAGACTTTACAAAAAGAGTGTTTCCAAACTGCTCTATGAAAAGAAAGGTTAAACTCTGTGAGTTGAAGGCACACATCACAAACTAGTTTCTACGAATGACTCTGTGTACTTTTAATATGAAGATATTTCCATGTCTAAGATTGGCGTCAAATCGCTTGAAATCTCCACTTGCAAATTCCACAAAAAGTGTTTTTCAAAACTGCTCTGAATAAAGGAAGGTTCCACTCTGTGAGTTGAATACACACAACACAAAGGATTTACTGAGAATTCTTCTGTCTAGCAGTAAATGAGAAATCCCGCTTCCAACGAAGGCCTCAAAGGGGTCTAACTAATCACTTGCAGACTTTACAGACAGAGTCTTTCCAAACTGCTCTATGAAGAGAAAGGTGAAACTCTGTGAACTGAACGCACAGATGACAAAGCAGTTTCTGAGAATGATTCTGTGTAGTTTTTACACGAAGATATTTCCATTTCAAAGATTAGCCTCAAATCGCTTGAAATCTCCACTTGCAAACTCCACAGAAAGAATTTTTCAAAACTGCTCTGTCTAAAGGAAGGCTCAACTCTGTGACTTGAATACACACAACACAAAGAAGTGACTGAGAATTCTTCTGTCTAGCATTATATGAAGAAATCCCGTTTCCAACGAAGGCCTCAATGAAGTCCAAAAAAGCACTTGCAGGCTTTACAAACAGAGTGTTTCCAAACTGCTCTATGAAAAGAAAGGTTAAACTCTGTGAGTTGAACGCACACATCACAAAGTAGTTGTTGAGAATGATTCTGTCTAGTTTTTATACGAAGATACTTCCTTTTCTACCATTGGCCTAGAAGCGCTTGAAATCTGCACTTGCAAATTCCACAAAAAGAGTGTTTCAAATCTGCTCTCTGTAAAGGAAGTTTCAAAACTGTGAGTTGAACAGACACAACACAAAAAAGTTACTGAAAATTCTTCTGTCTAGCATTATATGAGGAAATCCCGTTTCCAACGAAGGGCTCATAGAGGGACAATTATCCAGCTGCAGACTTACAAAGAGTGTATTTCCAAACTGCTCGATTAAAGAAAGGTTAAACTCTGTGAGTTGAACACACACATCACAAAGTGTTTTCTGAGAATGACTTTGTCTAGTTTTAATACGAAGATATATCCTTTTCTATCACTGTCTTCGAAGCGTTTGAAATCTGCACTAGCAAATTCCACAAACAGAGTGTTTCAACTCTGCTCTCTCTCAAGAAAGGTTCAACTCTGTGAGTGGAATACACACAACACAAAGAAGTTACTGAGAATTCTTCTGTCTAGCGTTATATGAAGAAATCCCGTTTCCAACGAAGGCCTCAAAGAGGTCCAAATATCCACTTGCAGACTTTACAAATAGAGTGTTTCCAAACTGCTCTATGAAAAGAAAGGTTAAACTCCGTGAGTTGAAGGCACACATCACAAACTAGTTTCTGCGAATGACTCTGTGTACTTTTAATACGAAGATGTTTCCATGTCTAAGATTGGCGTGAATTCGCTTGAAATCTCCACTTGCAAATTCCACAAAAAGAGTGTTTCAAAACTGCTCTGAATACAGGAAGGTTCCACTCTGTGAGTTGAATACACACAACACAAAGGATTTACTGAGAATTCGTCTGTCTAGCAGTAAATGAAAAAATCCCGCTTCCAACGAAGTCCTCAAAGGGGTCCAAGTAATCACTTGCAGACTTTACAGACAGAGTCTTTCCAAACTGCTCTATGAAAAGAAAGGTGGAACTCTGTGAGCTGAACGCACACATAACAAAGAAGTTTCTGAGAATGATTCTGTGTAGTTTTTACACGAAGCTATTTCCATTTCAAAGATTAGCCTCAAATCGCTTGAAATCTCCACTTGCAAATTCCACAGAAAGAGTTTTTCAAAACTGCTCTGTGTAAAGGATGGTTCAACTCTGTGACTTGAATACACACAACACAAAGAAGTGACTGAGAATTCTTCTGTCTAGCATTATATGAGGAAATCCCGTTTCCAACGAAGGGCTCATAGAGGGACAATTATCCACCTGCAGACTTACAAAGAGTGTATTTCCAAACTGCTCGATTAAAGAAAGGTTAAACTCTGTGAGTTGAACACACACATCACAAAGTGTTTTCTGAGAATGATTTTGTCTAGTTTTAATACGAAGATATATCCTTTTCTATCACTGTCTTCGAAGCGTTTGAAATCTGCACTAGCAAATTCCACAAAAAGAGTGTTTCCACTCTGCTCTCTCTCAAGAAAGGTTCAACTCTGTGAGTGGAATACACACAACACAAAGAAGTCACAGAGAATTCTTCTGTCTAGCGTTATATGAAGAAATCCCGTTTCCAACGAAGGCCTCAAAGAGGTCCAAATATCCACTTGCAGACTTTACAAATAGAGTGTTTCCAAACTGCTCTATGAAAAGAAAGGTTAAACTCCGTGAGTTGAAGGCACACATCACAAACTAGTTTACTGCGAATGACTCTGTGTACTTTTAATACGAAGATGTTTCCATGTCTAAGATTGGCGTGAATTCGCTTGAAATCTCCACTTGCAAATTCCACAAAAAGAGTGTTTCAAAAGTGCTCTGAATAAAGGAAGGTTCCACTCTGTGAGTTGAATACACACAACACAAAGGATTTACTGAGAATTCTTCTGTCTAGCAGTAAATGAAAAAATCCCGCTTCCAACGAAGTCCTCAAAGGGGTCCAAGTAATCACTTGCAGACTTTACAGACAGAGTCTTTCCAAACTGCTCTATGAAAAGAAAGGTGGAACTCTGTGAGCTGAACGCACACATAACAAAGCAGTTTCTGAGAATGATTCTGTGTAGTTTTTACACGAAGATATTTCCATTTCAAAGATTAGCCTCAAATCGCTTGAAATCTCCACTTGCAAATTCCACAGAAAGAGTTTTTCAAAACTGCTCTGTGTAAAGGAAGGTTCAACTCTGTGACTTGAATACACACAACACAAAGAAGTGACTGAGAATTCTTCTGTCTAGCATTATATGAAGAAATCCCGTTTCCAACGAAGGCCTCAAAGAGGTCCAAATATCCACTTGCAGACTTTACAAATAGAGTGTTTCCAAACTGCTCTATGAAAAGAAAGGTTAAACTCTGTGAGTTGAAGGCACACATCACAAACTAGTTTCTGCGAATGACTCTGTGTACTTTTAATACGAAGATGTTTCCATGTCTAAGATTGGCGTGAATTCGCTTGAAATCTCCACTTGCAAATTCCACAAAAAGAGTGTTTCAAAACTGCTCTGAATAAAGGAAGGTTCCACTCTGTGAGTTGAATACACACAACACAAAGGATTTACTGAGAATTCTTCTGTCTAGCAGTAAATGAAAAAATCCCGCTTCCAACGAAGTCCTCAAAGGGGTCCAAGTAATCACTTGCAGACTTTACAGACAGAGTCTTTCCAAACTGCTCTATGAAAAGAAAGGTGGAACTCTGTGAGCTGAACGCACACATAACAAAGCAGTTTCTGAGAATGATTCTGTGTAGTTTTTACACGAAGCTATTTCCATTTCAAAGATTAGCCTCAAATCGCTTGAAATCTCCACTTGCAAATTCCACAGAAAGAGTTTTTCAAAACTGCTCTGTGTAAAGGAAGGTTCAACTCTGTGACTTGAATACACACAACACAAAGAAGTTACTGAGAATTCTTCTGTCTAGCGTTATATGAAGAAATCCCGTTTCCAACGAAGGCCTCAAAGAGGTCCAAATATCCACTTGCAGACTTTACAAATAGAGTGTTTCCAAACTGCTCTATGAAAAGAAAGGTTAAACTCCGTGAGTTGAAGGCACACATCACAAACTAGTTTCTGCGAATGACTCTGTGTACTTTTAATACGAAGATGTTTCCATGTCTAAGATTGGCGTGAATTCGCTTGAAATCTCCACTTGCAAATTCCACAAAAAGAGTGTTTCAAAAGTGCTCTGAACAAAGGAAGGTTCCACTCTGTGAGTTGAATACACACAACACAAAGGATTTACTGAGAATTCTTCTGTCTAGCAGTAAATGAAAAAATCCCGCTTCCAACGAAGTCCTCAAAGGGGTCCAAGTAATCACTTGCAGACTTTACAGACAGAGTCTTTCCAAACTGCTCTATGAAAAGAAAGGTGGAACTCTGTGAGCTGAACGCACACATAACAAAGCAGTTTCTGAGAATGATTCTGTGTAGTTTTTACACGAAGATATTTCCATTTCAAAGATTAGCCTCAAATCGCTTGAAATCTCCACTTGCAAATTCCACAGAAAGAGTTTTTCAAAACTGCTCTGTGTAAAGGAAGGTTCAACTCTGTGACTTGAATACACACAACACAAAGAAGTGACTGAGAATTCTTCTGTCTAGCATTATATGAAGAAATCCCGTTTCCAACGAAGGCCTCAAAGAAGTCCAAATAAGCACCTGCAGACTTTACAAACAGAGTGTTTCCAAACTGCTCTATGAAAAGAAAGGTTAAACTCTGTGAGTTGAACGCACACATCACAAAGTAGTTGTTGAGAATGAGTCTGTGTAGTTTTTATACGAAGATATTTCCTTTTCTGCCATAGGCCTAGAAGCGCTTGCAATCTGCACTTGCAAATTCCAAAAACAGAGTGTTTCAAATCTGCTCTCTCCAAAGGAAGGTTCAAATCTGTGAGTTGAATACAAACAACACAAAGAAGTTACTGAGAATTCTTCTGTCTAGCATTATATGAGGAAATCCCGTTTCCAACGAAGGGCTCATAGAGGGACAATTATCCAGCTGCAGACTTACAAAGAGTGTATTTCCAAACTGCTCGATTAAAGAAAGGTTAAACTCTGTGAGTTGAACACACACATCACAAAGTGTTTTCTGAGAATGATTCTGTGTAGTTTTTATACGAAGATATTTCCTTTTCTGCCATAGGCCTAGAAGCGCTTGCAATCTGCACTTGCAAATTCCAAAAACAGAGTGTTTCAAATCTGCTCTCTCTAAAGGAAAGTTCAAATCTGTGAGTTGAATACAAACAATACAAGGAACTTACTGAGAATTCTTCTGTCTAGCATTATATGAGGAAATCCCGTTTCCAACGAAGGGCTCATAGAGGGACAATTATCCAGCTGCAGACTTACAAAGAGTGTATTTCCAAACTGCTCGATTAAAGAAAGGTTAAACTCTGTGAGTTGAACACACACATCACAAAGTGTTTTCTGAGAATGATTCTGTGTAGTTTTTATACGAAGATATTTCCTTTTCTGCCATAGGCCTAGAAGCGCTTGCAATCTGCACTTGCAAATTCCAAAAACAGAGTGTTTCAAATCTGCTCTCTCCAAAGGAAGGTTCAAATCTGTGAGTTGAATACAAACAACACAAAGAAGTTACTGAGAATCTTCCGTCTAGCGTTATATGAAGAAATCCCGTTTCCAACGAAGGCCTCAAAGAGGTCCAAATATCCACTTGCAGACTTTACAAATAGAGTGTTTCCAAACTGCTCTATGAAAAGAAAGGTTAAACTCCGTGAGTTGAAGGCACACATCACAAACTAGTTTCTGCGAATGACTCTGTGTACTTTTAATACGAAGATGTTTCCATGTCTAAGATTGGCGTGAATTCGCTTGAAATCTCCACTTGCAAATTCCACAAAAAGAGTGTTTCAAAAGTGCTCTGAATAAAGGAGGGTTCCACTCTGTGAGTTGAATACACACAACACAAAGGATTTACTGAGAATTCTTCTGTCTAGCAGTAAATGAAAAAATCCCGCTTCCAACGAAGTCCTCAAAGGGGTCCAAGTAATCACTTGCAGACTTTACAGACAGAGTCTTTCCAAACTGCTCTATGAAAAGAAAGGTGGAACTCTGTGAGCTGAACGCACACATAACAAAGCAGTTTCTGAGAATGATTCTGTGTAGTTTTTACACGAAGATATTTCCATTTCAAAGATTAGCCTCAAATCGCTTGAAATCTCCACTTGCAAATTCCACAGAAAGAGTTTTTCAAAACTGCTCTGTGTAAAGGAAGGTTCAACTCTGTGACTTGAATACACACAACACAAAGAAGTGACTGAGAATTCTTCTGTCTAGCATTATATGAAGAAATCCCGTTTCCAACGAAGGCCTCAAAGAAGTCCAAATAAGCACCTGCAGACTTTACAAACAGAGTGTTTCCAAACTGCTCTATGAAAAGAAAGGTTAAACTCTGTGAGTTGAACGCACACATCACAAAGTAGTTGTTGAGAATGATCCTGTGTAGTTTTTATACGAAGATATTTCCTTTTCTGCCATAGGCCTAGAAGCGCTTGCAATCTGCACTTGCAAATTCCAAAAACAGAGTGTTTCAAATCTGCTCTCTCCAAAGGAAGGTTCAAATCTGTGAGTTGAATACAAACAACACAAAGAAGTTACTGAGAATTCTTCTCTCTAGCATTATAAGAGGAAATCCCGTTTCCAACGAAGGGCTCATAGAGGGACAATTATCCAGCTGCAGACTTACAAAGAGTGTATTTCCAAACTGCTCGATTAAAGAAAGGTTAAACTCTGTGAGTTGAACACACACATCACAAGGTGTTTTCTGAGAATGATTTTGTCTAGTTTTAATACGAAGATATATCCTTTTCTATCACTGTCTTCGAAGCGTTTGAAATCTGCACTAGCAAATTCCACAAACAGAGTGTTTCAACTCTGCTCTCTCTCAAGAAAGGTTCAACTCTGTGAGTGGAATACACACAACACAAAGAAGTTACTGAGAATTCTTCTGTCTAGCGTTATATGAAGAAATCCCGTTTCCAACGAAGGCCTCAAAGAGGTCCAAATATCCACTTGCAGACTTTACAAATAGAGTGTTTCCAAACTGCTCTATGAAAAGAAAGGTTAAACTCTGTGAGTTGAAGGCACACATCACAAACTAGTTTCTGCGAATGACTCTGTGTACTTTTAATACGAAGATGTTTCCATGTCTAAGATTGGCGTGAATTCGCTTGAAATCTCCACTTGCAAATTCCACAAAAAGAGTGTTTCAAAACTGCTCTGAATAAAGGAAGGTTCCACTCTGTGAGTTGAACACACACAACACAAAGGATTTACTGAGAATTCTTCTGTCTAGCAGTAAATGAGAAATCCCGCTTCCAACGAAGGCCTCAAAGGGGTCTAACTAATCACTTGCAGACTTTACAGACAGAGTCTTTCCAAACTGCTCTATGAAGAGAAAGGTGAAACTCTGTGAACTGAACGCACAGATGACAAAGCAGTTTCTGAGAATGATTCTGTGTAGTTTTTACACGAAGATATTTCCATTTCAAAGATTAGCTTCAAATCGCTTGAAATCTCCACTTGCAAATTACACAGAAAGAATTTTTCAAAACTGCTCTGTCTAAAGGAAGGTTCAACTCTGTGACTTGAATACACACAACACAAAGAAGTGACTGAGAATTCTTCTGTCTAGCATTATATGAAGAAATCCCGTTTCCAACGAAGGCCTCAATGAAGTCCAAAAAAGCACTTGCAGGCTTTACAAACAGAGTGTTTCCAAACTGCTCTATGAAAAGAAAGGTTAAACTCTGTGAGTTGAACGCACACATCACAAAGTAGTTGTTGAGAATGATTCTGTGTAGTTTTTATACGAAGATATTTCCTTTTCTGCCATAGGCCTAGATTCGCTTGAAATCTGCACTTGCAAATTCCAAAAACAGAGTGTTTCAACTCTGCTCTCTCTAAAGAAAGGTTCAACTCTGTGAGTTGAATACACACAACACAAAGTAGTTACTGAGAATTCTTCTGTCTAGCGTTATACGAAGAAATCCCTTTTCCAACAAAGGCCTCAAAGACGTCCAAATATCCACTTGCAGACTTTACAAATAGAGTGTTTCCAAACTGCTCTATGAAAAGAAAGGTTAAACTCTGTGAGTTGAAGGCACACATCACAAACTAGTTTTTACGAATGACTTTGTCTACTTTTAATACGAAGATATATCCTTTTCTATCACTGTCTTCGAAGCGTTTGAAATCTACACTAGCAAATTCCACAAAAAGAGTGTTTCACCTCTGCTCCCTCTAAAGAAAGGTTCAACTCTGTGAGTTGAATACACACAACACAAAGAAGTTACTGAGAATTCTTCTGTCTAGCATTATATGAAGAAATCCCGTTTCCAACGAAGGCCTCAAAGAGGTCCAAATATCCACTTGCAGACTTTACAAATAGAGTGTTTCCCAACTGCTCTATGAAAAGAAAGGTTAAACTCTGTGAGTTGAAGGCACACATCACAAACTAGTTTCTACGAATGACTCTGTGTACTTTTAATATGAAGATATTTCCATGTCTAAGATTGGCGTCAAATCGCTTGAAATCTCCACTTGCAAATTCCACAAAAAGAGTGTTTCAAAACTGCTCTGAATAAAGGAAGGTTCCACTCTGTGAGTTGAATACACACAACACAAAGGATTTACTGAGAATTCTTCTGTCTAGCAGTAAATGAGAAATCCCGCTTCCAACGAAGGCCTCAAAGGGGTCTAACTAATCACTTGCAGACTTTACAGACAGAGTCTTTCCAAACTGCTCTATGAAGAGAAAGGTGAAACTCTGTGAACTGAACGCACAGATGACAAAGCAGTTTCTGAGAATGATTCTGTGTAGTTTTTACACGAAGATATTTCCATTTCAAAGATTAGCCTCAAATCGCTTGAAATCTCCACTTGCAAACTCCACAGAAAGAATTTTTCAAAACTGCTCTGTCTAAAGGAAGGTTCAACTCTGTGACTTGAATACACACAACACAAAGAAGTGACTGAGAATTCTTCTGTCTAGCATTATATGAAGAAATCCCGTTTCCAACGAAGGCCTCAATGAAGTCCAAAAAAGCACTTGCAGGCTTTACAAACAGAGTGTTTCCAAACTGCTCTATGAAAAGAAAGGTTAAACTCTGTGAGTTGAACGCACACATCACAAAGTAGTTGTTGAGAATGATTCTGTGTAGTTTTTATACGAAGATATTTCCTTTTCTGCCATAGGCCTATAAGCGCTTTAAATCTGCACTTGCAAATTCCAAAAACAGAGTGTTTCAAATCTGCTCTCTCTAAAGGAAGGTTCAAATCTGTGAGTTGAATACAAACAACACAAAGAAGTTACTGAGAATTCTTCTGTCTAGCATTATATGAGGAAATCCCGTTTCCAACGAAGGGCTCAAAGAGGGCCAATTATCCACCTGCAGACTTACAAAGAGTGTATTTCCAAACTGCTCGATTAAAGAAAGGTTAAACTCTGTGAGTTGAACACACACATCACAAAGTGTTTTCTGAGAATGATTTTGTCTAGTTTTAATACGAAGATATATCCTTTTCTATCACTGTCTTCGAAGCGTTTGAAATCTGCACTAGCAAATTCCACAAAAAGAGTGTTTCCACTCTGCTCTCTCTCAAGAAAGGTTCAACTCTGTGAGTTGAATACACACAACACAAAGAAGTTACTGAGAATTCTTCTGTCTAGCGTTATATGAAGAAATCCCGTTTCCAACGAAGGCCTCAAAGAGGTGCAAATATCCACTTGCAGACTTTACAGATAGAGTGTTTCCAAACTGCTCTATGAAAAGAAAGGTTAAACTCCGTGAGTTGAAGGCACACATCACAAACTAGTTTCTGTGAATGACTCTGTGTACTTTTAATACGAAGATGTTTCCATGTCTAAGATTGGCGTGAATTCGCTTGAAATCTCCACCTGCAAATTCCACAAAAAGAATGTTTCAAAACAGCTGTGAATAGAGGAAGGTTCCACTCTGTGAGTTGAATACACACAACACAAAGGATTTACTGAGAATTCTTCTGTCTAGCAGTAAATGAAAAAATCCCGCTTCCAACGAAGTCCTCAAAGGGGTCCAAGTAATCACTTGCAGACTTTACAGACAGAGTCTTTCCAAACTGCTCTATGAAAAGAAAGGTGGAACTCTGTGAGCTGAACGCACACATAACAAAGCAGTTTCTGAGAATGATTCTGTGTGGTTTTTACACGAAGCTATTTCCATTTCAAAGATTAGCCTCAAATCGCTTGAAATCTCCACTTGCAAATTCCACAGAAAGAGTTTTTCAAAACTGCTCTGTGTAAAGGAAGGTTCAACTCTGTGACTTGAATACACACAACACAAAGAAGTGACTGAGAATTCTTCTGTCTAGCATTACATGAAGAAATCCCGTTTCCAACGAAGGCCTCAAAGAAGTCCAAAGAAGCACCTGCAGACTTTACAAACAGAGTGTTTCCAAACTGCTCTATGAAAAGAAAGGTTAAACTCTGTGAGTTGAACGCACACATCACAAAGTAGTTGTTGAGAATGATTCTGTGTAGTTTTTATACGAAGATATTTCCTTTTCTGCCATAGGCCTAGAAGCGCTTGAAATCTGCACTTGCAAATTCCAAAAACAGAGTGTTTCAAATCTGCTCTCTCTAAAGGAAGGTTCAAATCAGTGAGTTGAATACAAACAACACAAAGAAGTTACTGAGAATTCTTCTCTCTAGCATTATATGAGGAAATCCCGTTTCCAACGAAGGGCTCAAAGAGGGCCAATTATCCACCTGCAGACTTACAAAGAGTGTATTTCCAAACTGCTCGATTAAAGAAAGGTTAAACTCTGTGAGTTGAACACACACATCACAAAGTGTTTTCTGAGAATGATTTTGTCTAGTTTTAATACGAAGATATATGCTTTTCTATCACTGTCTTCGAAGCGTTTGAAGTCTGCACTAGCAAATTCCACAAAAAGAGTGTTTCAACTCTGCTCTCTCTAAAGAAACGTTCAACTCTGTGAGTTGAATACACACAACACAAAGAAGTTACTGAGAATTCTTCTGTCTAGCATTGTATGAAGAAATCCCTTTTCCAACGTAGGCCTCAAAGAGGTCCAAATATCCACTTGCAGACTTTACAAATAGAGTGTTTGCAAACTGCTCTATGAAAAGAAAGGTTAAACTCTGTGAGTTGAAGGCACACATCGCAAACTAGTTTCTACGAATGACTCTGTGTACTTTTAATATGAAGATATTTCCATGTCTAAGATTGGCGTCAAATCGCTTGAAATCTCCACTTGCAAATTCCACAAAAAGTGTTTTTCAAAACTGCTCTGAATAAAGGAAGGTTCCACTCTGTGAGTTGAATACACACAACACAAAGGATTTACTGAGAATTCTTCTGTCTAGCAGTAAATGAGAAATCCCGCTTCCAACGAAGGCCTCAAAGGGGTCTAACTAATCACTTGCAGACTTTACAGACAGAGTCTTTCCAAACTGCTCTATGAAGAGAAAGGTGAAACTCTGTGAACTGAACGCACAGATGACAAAGCAGTTTCTGAGAATGATTCTGTGTAGTTTTTACACGAAAGATATTTCCATTTCAAAGATTAGCCTCAAATCGCTTGAAATCTCCACTTGCAAACTCCACAGAAAGAATTTTTCAAAACTGCTCTGTCTAAAGGAAGGTTCAACTCTGTGACTTGAATACACACAACACAAAGAAGTGACTGAGAATTCTTCTGTCTAGCATTATATGAAGAAATCCCGTTTCCAACGAAGTCCTCAATGAAGTCCAAAAAAGCACTTGCAGGCTTTACAAACAGAGTGTTTCCAAACTGCTCTATGAAAAGAAAGGTTAAACTCTGTGAGTTGAACGCACACATCACAAAGTAGTTGTTGAGAATGATTCTGTGTAGTTTTTATACGAAGATATTTCCTTTTCTGCCATAGGCCTAGAAGCGCTTGAAATCTGCACTTGCAAATTCCAAAAACAGAGTGTTTCAAATCTGCTCTCTCTAAAGGAAGGTTCAAATCTGTGTGTTGAATACAAACAACACAAAGAAGTTACTGAGAATTCTTCTGTCTAGCATTATATGAGGAAATCCCGTTTCCAACGAAGGGCTCAAAGAGGGCCAAATATCCACCTGCAGAATTACAAAGAGTGTATTTCCAAACTGCTCGATTAAAGAAAGGTTAAACTCTGTGAGTTGAACACACACATCACAAAGAGTTTTCTGAGAATGATTTTGTCTACTTTTAATACGAAGATATATCCTTTTCTATCACTGTCTTCGAAGCGTTTGAAATCTACACTAGCAAATTCCACAAAAAGAGTGTTTCACCTCTGCTCCCTCTAAAGAAAGGTTCAACTCTGTGAGTTGAATACACACAACACAAAGAAGTTACTGAGAATTCTTCTGTCTAGCGTTATATGAAGAAATCCCGTTTCCAACGAAGGCCTCAAAGAGGTCCAAATATCCACTTGCAGACTTTACAAATAGAGTGTTTCCCAACTGCTCTATGAAAAGAAAGGTTAAACTCTGTGAGTTGAAGGCACACATCACAAACTAGTTTCTACGAATGACTCTGTGTACTTTTAATATGAAGATATTTCCATGTCTAAGATTGGCGTCAAATCGCTTGAAATCTCCACTTGCAAATTCCACAAAAAGACTGTTTCAAAACTGCTCTGAATAAAGGAAGGTTCCACTCTGTGAGTTGAATACACACAACACAAAGGATTTACTGAGAATTCTTCTGTCTAGCAGTAAATGAGAAATCCCGCTTCCAACGAAGGTCTCAAAGGGGTCTAACTAATCACTTGCAGACTTTACAGACAGAGTCTTTCCAAACTGCTCTATGAAGAGAAAGGTGAAACTCTGTGAACTGAACGCACAGATGACAAAGCAGTTTCTGAGAATGATTCTGTGTAGTTTTTACACGAAGCTATTTCCATTTCAAAGATTAGCCTCAAATCGCTTGAAATCTCCACTTGCAAAGTCCACAGAAAGAATTTTTCAAAACTGCTCTGTCTAAAGGAAGGTTCAACTCTGTGACTTGAATACACACAACACAAAGAAGTGACTGAGAATTCTTCTGTCTAGCATTATATGAAGAAATCCCGTTTCCAACGAAGAGCCTCAAAGAAGTCCAAAGAAGCACCTGCAGACTTTACAAACAGAGTGTTTCCAAACTGCTCTATGAAAAGAAAGGTTAAACTCTGTGAGTTGAACGCACACATCACAAAGTAGTTGTTGAGAATGATTCTGTGTAGTTTTTATACGAAGATATTTCCTTTTCTGCCATAGGCCTAGAAGCGCTTGCAATCTGCACTTGCAAATTCCAAAAACAGAGTGTTTCAAATCTGCTCTCTCCAAAGGAAGGTTCAAATCTGTGAGTTGAATACAAACAACACAAAGAAGTTACTGAGAATTCTTCTGTCTAGCATTATAAGAGGAAATCCCGTTTCCAACGAAGGGCTCATAGAGGGACAATTATCCAGCTGCAGACTTACAAAGAGTGTATTTCCAAACTGCTCGATTAAAGAAAGGTTAAACTCTGTGAGTTGAACACACACATCACAAAGTGTTTTCTGAGAATGATTTTGTCTAGTTTTAATACGAAGATATATCCTTTTCTATCACTGTCTTCGAAGCGTTTGAAATCTGCACTAGCAAATTCCACAAACAGAGTGTTTCAACTCTGCTCTCTCTCAAGAAAGGTTCAACTCTGTGAGTGGAATACACACAACACAAAGAAGTTACTGAGAATTCTTCTGTCTAGCGTTATATGAAGAAATCCCGTTTCCAACGAAGGCCTCAAAGAGGTCCAAATATCCACTTGCAGACTTTACAAATAGAGTGTTTCCAAACTGCTCTATGAAAAGAAAGGTTAAACTCTGTGAGTTGAAGGCACACATCACAAACTAGTTTCTGCGAATGACTCTGTGTACTTTTAATACGAAGATGTTTCCATGTCTAAGATTGGCGTGAATTCGCTTGAAATCTCCACTTGCAAATTCCACAAAAAGAGTGTTTCAAAACTGCTCTGAATAAAGGAAGGTTCCACTCTGTGAGTTGAATACACACAACACAAAGGATTTACTGAGAATTCTTCTGTCTAGCAGTAAATGAAAAAATCCCGCTTCCAACGAAGTCCTCAAAGGGGTCCAAGTAATCACTTGCAGACTTTACAGACAGAGTCTTTCCAAACTGCTCTATGAAAAGAAAGGTGGAACTCTGTGAGCTAAACGCACACATAACAAAGCAGTTTCTGAGAATGATTCTGTGTAGTTTTTACACGAAGCTATTTCCATTTCAAAGTATTAGCCTCAAATCGCTTGAAATCTCCACTTGCAAATTCCACAGAAAGAGTTTTTCAAAACTGCTCTGTGTAAAGGAAAGTTCAACTCTGTGACTTGAATACACACAACACAAAGAAGTGACTGAGAATTCTTCTGTCTAGCAGTAAATGAAAAAATCCCGCTTCCAACGAAGTCCTCAAAGGGGTCGAAGTAATCACTTGCAGACTTTACAGACAGAGTCTTTCCAAACTGCTCTATGAAAAGAAAGGTGGAACTCTGTGAGCTGAACGCACACATAACAAAGCAGTTTCTGACAATGATTCTGTGTAGTTTGTACACGAAGATATTTCCATTTCAAAGATTAGCCTCAAATCGCTTGAAATCTCCACTTGCAAATTCCACAGAAAGAGTTTTTCAAAACTGCTCTGTGTAAAGGAAGGTTCAACTCTCTGACTTGAATACACACAACACAAAGAAGTGACTGAGAATTCTTCTGTCTAGCATTATATGAAGAAATCCCGTTTCCAACGAAGGCCTCAAAGAAGTCCAAATAAGCACCTGCAGACTTTACAAACAGAGTGTTTCCAAACTGCTCTATGAAAAGAAAGGTTAAACTCTGTGAGTTGAACACACACATCACAAAGTAGTTGTTGAGAATGATTCTGTGTAGTTTTTATACGAAGATATTTCCTTTTCTGCCATAGGCCTAGAAGCGCTTGCAATCTGCACTTGCAAATTCCAAAAACAGAGTGTTTCAAATCTGCTCTCTCTAAAGGAAGTTTCAAATCTGTGAGTTGAATACAAACAACACAAAGAAGTTACTGAGAATACTTCTGTCTAGCATTATATGAGGAAATCCCGTTTCCAACGAAGGGCTCATAGAGGGACAATTATCCACCTGCAGACTTACAAAGAGTGCATTTCCAAACTGCTCGATTAAAGAAAGGTTAAACTCTGTGAGTTGAACACACACATCACAAAGTGTTTTCTGAGAATGATTTTGTCTAGTTTTAATACGAAGATATATCCTTTTCTATCACTGTCTTCGAAGCGTTTGAAATCTGCACTAGCAAATTCCACAGAAAGAGTGTTTCAACTCTGCTCTCTCTCAACAAAGGTTCAACTCTGTGAGTGGAATACACACAACACAAAGAAGTTACAGAGAATTCTTCTGTCTAGCGTTATATGAAGAAATCCCGTTTCCAACGAAGGCCTCAAAGAGGTCCAAATATCCACTTGCAGACTATACAAATAGAGTGTTTCCAAACTGCTCTATGAAAAGAAAGCTTAAACTCTGTGAGTTGAAGGCACACATCACAAACTAGTTTCTGCGAATGACTCTGTGTACTTTTAATACGAAGATGTTTCCATGTCTAAGATTGGCGTGAATTCGCTTGAAATCTCCACTTGCAAATTCCACAAAAAGAGTGTTTCAAAACTGCTCTGAATAAAGGAAGGTTCCACTCTGTGAGTTGAATACACACAACACAAAGGATTTACTGAGAATTCTTCTGTCTAGCAGTAAATGAAAAAATCCCGCTTCCAACGAAGTCCTCAAAGGGGTCCAAGTAATCACTTGCAGACTTTACAGACAGAGTCTTTCCAAACTGCTCTATGAAAAGAAAGGTGGAACTCTGTGAGCTGAACGCACACATAACAAAGCAGTTTCTGAGAATGATTCTGTGTAGTTTTTACACGAAGATATTTCCATTTCAAAGATTAGCCTCAAATCGCTTGAAATCTCCACTTGCAAATTCCACAGAAAGAGTTTTTCAAAACTGCTCTGTGTAAAGGAAGGTTCAACTCTGTGACTTGAATACACACAACACAAAGAAGTGACTGAGAATTCTTCTGTCTAGCATTATATGAAGAAATCCCGTTTCCAACGAAGGCCTCAAAGAAGTCCAAATAAGCACCTGCAGACTTTACAAACAGAGTGTTTCCAAACTGCTCTATGAAACGAAAGGTTAAACTCTGTGAGTTGAACGCACACATCACAAAGTAGTTGTTGAGAATGATTCTGTGTAGTTTTTATACGAAGATATTTCCTTTTCTGCCATAGGCCTAGAAGCGCTTTTAATCTGCACTTGCAAATTCCAAAAACAGAGTGTTTCAAATCTGCTCTCTCTAAAGGAAGTTTCAAATCTGTGAGTTGAATACAAACAACACAAAGAAGTTACTGAGAATTCTTCTGTCTAGCATTATAAGAGGAAATCCCGTTTCCAACGAAGGGCTCATAGAGGGACAATTATCCAGCTGCAGACTTACAAAGAGTGTATTTCCAAACTGCTCGATTAAAGAAAGGTTAAACTCTGTGAGTTGAACACACACATCACAAAGTGTTTTCTGAGAATGATTTTGTCTAGTTTTAATACGAAGATATATCCTTTTCTATCACTGTCTTCGAAGCGTTTGAAATCGGCACTAGCAAATTCCACAAACAGAGTGTTTCAACTCTGCTCTCTCTCAAGAAAGGTTCAACTCTGTGAGTGGAATACACACAACACAAAGAAGTTACTGAGAATTCTTCTGTCTAGCGTTATATGAAGAAATCCCGTTTCCAACGAAGGCCTCAAAGACGTCCAAATATCCACTTGCAGACTTTACAAATAGAGTGTTTCCAAACTGCTCTATGAAAAGAAAGGTTAAACTCTGTGAGTTGAAGGCACACATCACAAACTAGTTTCTGCGAATGACTCTGTGTACTTTTAATACGAAGATGTTTCCATGTCTAAGATTGGCGTGAATTCGCTTGAAATCTCCACTTGCAAATTCCACAAAAAGAGTGTTTCAAAACTGCTCTGAATAAAGGAAGGTTCCACTCTGAGAGTTGAATACACACAACACAAAGGATTTACTGAGAATTCTTCTGTATAGCAGTAAATGAAAAAATCCCGCTTCCAAAGAAGTCCTCAAAGGGGTCCAAGTAATCACTTGCAGACTTTACAGACAGAGTCTTTCCAAACTGCTCTATGAAAAGAAAGGTGGAACTCTGTGAGCTGAACGCACACATAACAAAGCAGTTTCTGAGAATGATTCTGTGTAGTTTTTACACGAAGATATTTCCATTTCAAAGATTAGCCTCAAATCGCTTGAAATCTCCACTTGCAAATTCCGCAGAAAGAGTTTTTCAAAACTGCTCTGTGTAAAGGAAGGTTCAACTCTGTGACTTGAATACACACAACACAAAGAAGTGACTGAGAATTCTTCTGTCTAGCATTATATGAGAAATCCCGTTTCCAACGAAGGCCTCAAAGAAGTCCAAATAAGCACCTGCAGACTTTACAAACAGAGTGTTTCCAAACTGCTCTATGAAAAGAAAGGTTAAACTCTGTGAGGTGAACGCACACATCACAAAGTAGTTGTTGAGAATGATTCTGTGTAGTTTTTATACGAAGATATTTAATTTACTGCCATAGGCCTAGAAGCGCTTGAAATCTGCACTTGCAAATTCCAAAAACAGAGTGTTTCAAATCTGCTCTCTCCAAAGGAAGGTTCAAATCTGTGAGTTGAATACAAACAACACAAAGAAGTTACTGAGAATTCTTCTGTCTAGCATTATAAGAGGAAATCCCGTTTCCAACGAAGGGCTCATAGAGGGACAATTATCCAGCTGCAGACTTACAAAGAGTGTATTTCCAAACTGCTCGATTAAAGAAAGGTTAAACTCTGTGAGTTGAACACACACATCACAAAGTGTTTTCTGAGAATGATTTTGTCTAGTTTTAATACGAAGATATATCCTTTTCTATCACTGTCTTCGAAGCGTTTGAAATCTGCACTAGCAAATTCCACAAACAGAGTGTTTCAACTCTGCTCTCTCTCAAGAAAGGTTCAACTCTGTGAGTGGAATACACACAACACAAAGAAGTTACTGAGAATTCTTCTGTCTAGCGTTATATGAAGAAATCCCGTTTCCAACGAAGGCCTCAAAGAGGTCCAAATATCCACTTGCAGACTTTACAAATAGAGTGTTTCCAAACTGCTCTATGAAAAGAAAGGTTAAACTCCGTGAGTTGAAGGCACACATCACAAACTAGTTTCTGCGAATGACTCTGTGTACTTTTAATACGAAGATGTTTCCATGTCTAAGATTGGCGTGAATTCGCTTGAAATCTCCACTTGCAAATTCCACCAAAAGAGTGTTTCAAAACTGCTCTGAATAAAGGAAGGTTCCACTCTGTGAGTTTAATACACACAACACAAAGGATTTACTGAGAATTCTTCTGTCTAGCAGTAAATGAAAAAATCCCGCTTCCAACGAAGTCCTCAAAGGGGTCCAAGTAATCATTTGCAGACTTTACAGACGGAGTCTTTCCAAACTGCTCTATGAAAAGAAAGGTGGAACTCTGTGAGCTGAACGCACACATAACAAAGCAGTTTCTGAGAATGATTCTGTGTAGTTTTTGCACGAAGATATTTCCATTTCAAAGATTAGCCTCAAATCGCTTGAAATCTCCACTTGCAAATTCCACAGAAAGAGTTTCTCAAAACTGCTCTGTGTAAAGGAAGGTTCAACTCTGTGACTTGAATACACACAACACAAAGAAGTGACTGAGAATTCTTCTGTCTAGCATTATATGAAGAAATCCCGTTTCCAACGAAGGCCTCAAAGAAGTCCAAATAAGCACCTGCAGACTTTACAAACAGAGTGTTTCCAAACTGCTCTATGAAAAGAAAGGTTAAACTCTGTGAGTTGAACGCACACATCACAAACTAGTTTCTGCGAATGACTCTGTGTAGTTTTTATACGAAGATATTTCCTTTTCTGCCATAGGCCTAGAAGCGCTTGAAATCTGCACTTGCAAATTCCAAAAACAGAGTGTTTCAAATCTGCTCTCTCTAAAGGAAGGTTCAAATCTGTGTGTTGAATACAAACAACACAAAGAAGTTACTGAGAATTTTTCTGTCTAGCATTATATGAGGAAATCCCGTTTCCAACGAAGGGCTCAAAGAGGGCCAAATATCCACCTGCAGACTTACAAAGAGTGTATTTCCAAACTGCTCGATTAAAGAAAGGTTAAACTCTGTGAGTTGAACACACACATCACAAAGAGTTTTCTGAGAATGATTTTGTCTACTTTTAATACGAAGATATATCCTTCTCTATCACTGTCTTCGAAGCGTTTGAAATCTACACTAGCAAATTCCAGAAAAAGAGTGTTTCACCTCTGCTCCCTCTAAAGAAAGGTTCAACTCTGTGAGTTGAATACACACAACACAAAGAAGTTACTGAGAATTCTTCTGTCTAGCGTTATATGAAGAAATCCCGTTTCCAACGAAGGCCTCAAAGAGGTCCAAATATCCACTTGCAGACTTTACAAATAGAGTGTTTCCCAACTGCTCTATGAAAAGAAAGGTTAAACTCTTGTGAGTTGAAGGCACACATCACAAACTAGTTTCTACGAATGACTCTGTGTACTTTTAATATGAAGATATTTCCATGTCTAAGATTGGCGTCAAATCGCTTGAAATCTCCACTTGCAAATTCCACAAAAAGAGTGTTTCAAAACTGTTCTGAATAAAGGAAGGTTCCACTCTGTGAGTTGAATACACACAACACAAAGAATTTACTGAGAATTCTTCTGTCTAGCAGTAAATGAGAAATCCCACTTCCAACGAAGGCCTCAAAGGGGTCTAACTAATCACTTGCAGACTTTACAGACAGAGTCTTTCCAAACTGCTCTATGAAGAGAAAGGTGAAACTCTGTGAACTGAACGCACAGATGACAAAGCAGTTTCTGAGAATGATTCTGTGTAGTTTTTACACGAAGATATTTCCATTTCAAAGATTAGCCTCAAATCGCTTGAAATCTCCACTTGCAAATTACACAGAAAGAATTTTTCAAAACTGCTCTGTCTAAAGGAAGGTTCAACTCTGTGACTTGAATACACACAACACAAAGAAGTGACTGAGAATTCTTCTGTCTAGCATTATATGAAGAAATCCCGTTTCCAACGAAGGCCTCAATGAAGTCCAAAAAAGCACTTGCAGGCTTTACAAACAGAGTGTTTCCAAACTGCTCTATGAAAAGAAAGGTTAAACTCTGTGAGTTGAACGCACACATCACAAAGTAGTTGTTGAGAAAGATTCTGTGTAGTTTTTATACGAAGATATTTCCTTTTCTGCCATAGGCCTAGAATCGCTTGAAATCTGCACTTGCAAATTCCAAAAACAGAGTGTTTCAACTCTGCTCTCTCTAAAGAAAGGTTCAACTCTGTGAGTTGAATACACACAACACAAAGAAGTTACTGAGAATTCTTCTGTCTAGCGTTACATGAAGAAATCCCGTTTCCAACGAAGGCCTCAAAGAGGTCCAAATATCCACTTGCAGACTTTACAAATAGAGTGTTTCCAAAATGCTCTATGAAAAGAAAGGTTAAACTCTGTGAGTTGAAGGCACACATCACAAACTAGTTTCTGCGAATGACTCTGTGTACTTTTAATACGAAGATGTTTCCATGTCTAAGATTGGCGTGAATTCGCTTGAAATCTCCACTTGCAAATTCCACAAAAAGAGTGTTTCAAAACTGCTCTGAATAAAGGAAGGTTCCACTCTGTGAGTTGAATACACACAACACAAAGGATTTACTGAGAATTCTTCTGTCTAGCAGTAAATGAAAAAATCCCGCTTCCAACGAAGTCCTCAAAGGGGTCCAAGTAATCACTTTGCAGACTTTACAGACAGAGTCTTTCCAAACTGTTCTATGAAAAGAAAGGTGGAACTCTGTGAGCTGAACGCACACATAACAAAGCAGTTTCTGAGAATGATTCTGTGTAGTTTTTACACGAAGATATTTCCATTTCAAAGATTAGCCTCAAATCGCTTGAAATCTCCACTTGCAAATTCCACAGAAAGAGTTTTTCAAAACTGCTCTGTGTAAAGGAAGGTTCAACTCTGTGACTTGAATACACACAACACAAAGAAGTGACTGAGAATTCTTCTGTCTAGCATTATATGAAGAAATCCCGTTTCCAACGAAGGCCTCAAAGAAGTCCAAATAAGCACCTGCAGACTTTACAAACAGAGTGTTTCCAAACTGCTCTATGAAAAGAAAGGTTAAACTCTGTGAGTTGAACGCACACATCACAAAGTAGTTGTTGAGAATGATTCTGTGTAGTTTTTATACGAAGATATTTCCTTTTCTGCCATAGGCCTAGAAGCGCTTGCAATCTGCACTTGCAAATTCCAAAAACAGAGTGTTTCAAATCTGCTCTCTCCAAAGGAAGGTTCAAATCTGTGAGTTGAATACAAACAACACAAAGAAGTTACTGAGAATTCTTCTGTCTAGCATTATAAGAGGAAATCCCGTTTCCAACGAAGGGCTCATAGAGGGACAATTATCCAGCTGCAGACTTACAAAGAGTGTATTTCCAAACTGCTCGATTAAAGAAAGGTTAAACTCTGTGAGTTGAACACACACATCACAAAGTGTTTTCTGAGAATTATTTTGTCTAGTTTTAATACGAAGATATATCCTTTTCTATCACTGTCTTCGAAGCGTTTGAAATCTGCACTAGCAAATTCCACAAACAGAGTGTTTCAACTCTGCTCTCTCTCAAGAAAGGTTCAACTCTGTGAGTGGAATACACACAACACAAAGAAGTTACTGAGAATTCTTCTGTCTAGCGTTATATGAAGAAATCCCGTTTCCAACGAAGGCCTCAAAGAGGTCCAAATATCCACTTGCAGACTTTACAAATAGAGTGTTTCCAAACTGCTCTATGAAAAGAAAGGTTAAACTCCGTGAGTTGAAGGCACACATCACAAACTAGTTTCTGCGAATGACTCTGTGTACTTTTAATACGAAGATGTTTCCATGTCTAAGATTGGCGTGAATTCGCTTGAAATCTCCACTTGCAAATTCCACAAAAAGAGTGTTTCAAAACTGCTCTGAATAAAGGAAGGTTCCACTCTGTGAGTTGAATACACACAACACAAAGGATTTACTGAGAATTCTTCTGTCTAGCAGTAAATGAAAAAATCCCGCTTCCAACGAAGTCCTCAAAGGGGTCCAAGTAATCACTTGCAGACTTTACAGACAGAGTCTTTCCAAACTGCTCTATGAAAAGAAAGGTGGAACTCTGTGAGCTGAACGCACACATAACAAAGCAGTTTCTGACAATGATTCTGTGTAGTTTTTACACGAAGCTATTTCCATTTCAAAGATTAGCCTCAAATCGCTTGAAATCTCCACTTGCAAATTCCACAGAAAGAGTTTTTCAAAACTGCTCTGTGTAAAGGAAGGTTCAACTCTGTGACTTGAATACACGCAACACAAAGAAGTGACTGAGAATTCTTCTGTCTAGCATTATATGAAGAAATCCCGTTTCCAACGAAGGCCTCAAAGAAGTCCAAATAAGCACCTGCAGACTTTACAAACAGAGTGTTTCCAAACTGCTCTATGAAAAGAAAGGTTAAACTCTGTGAGTTGAACGCACACATCACAAAGTAGTTGTTGAGAATGATTCTGTGTAGTTTTTATACGAAGATATTTGCTTTTCTGCCATAGGCCTAGAAGCGCTTGAAATCTGCACTTGCAAATTCCAAAAACAGAGTGTTTCAAATCTGCTCTCTCTAAAGGAAGGTTCAAATCTGTGAGTTGAATACAAACAACACAAAGAAGTTACTGAGAATTCTTCTGTCTAGCATTATAAGAGGAAATCCCGTTTCCAACGAAGGGCTCATAGAGGGACAATTATCCAGCTGCAGACTTACAAAGAGTGTATTTCCAAACTGCTCGATTAAAGAAAGGTTAAACTCTGTGAGTTGAACACACACATCACAAAGTGTTTTCTGAGAATGATTTTGTCTAGTTTTAATACGAAGATATATCCTTTTCTATCACTGTCTTCGAAGCGTTTGAAATCTGCACTAGCAAATTCCACAGAAAGAGTGTTTCAACTCTGCTCTCTCTCAAGAAAGGTTCAACTCTGTGAGTTGAAAACACACAACACAAAGAAGTTACTGAGAATTCTTCTGTCTAGCGTTATATGAAGAAATCCCGGTTCCAACGAAGGCCTCAAAGAGGTCCAAATATCCACTTGCAGACTTAACAAATAGAGTGTTTCCAAACTGCTCTATGAAAAGAAAGGTTAAACTCCGTGAGTTGAAGGCACACATCACAAACTAGTTTCTGCGAATGACTCTGTGTACTTTTAATACGAAGATGTTTCCATGTCTAAGATTGGCGTGAATTCGCTTGAAATCTCCACTTGCAAATTCCACAAAAAGAGTGTTTCAAAACTGCTCTGAATAAAGGAAGGTTCCACTCTGTGAGTTGAATACACACAACACAAAGGATTTACTGAGAATTCTTCTGTCTAGCAGTAAATGAAAAAATCCCGCTTCCAACGAAGTCCTCAAAGGGGTCGAAGTAATCACTTGCAGACATAACAGACAGAGTCTTTCCAAACTGCTCTATGAAAAGAAAGGTGGAACTCTGTGAGCTGAACGCACACATAACAAAGCAGTTTCTGACAATGATTCTGTGTAGTTTGTACACGAAGATATTTCCATTTCAAAGATTAGCCTCAAATCGCTTGAAATCTCCACTTGCAAATTCCACAGAAAGAGTTTTTCAAAACTGCTCTGTGTAAAGGAAGGTTCAACTCTCTGACTTGAATACACACAACACAAAGAAGTGACTGAGAATTCTTCTGTCTAGCATTATATGAAGAAATCCCGTTTCCAACGAAGGCCTCAAAGAAGTCCAAATAAGCACCTGCAGACTTTACAAACAGAGTGTTTCCAAACTGCTCTATGAAAAGAAAGGTTAAACTCTGTGAGTTGAACGCACACATCACAAAGTAGTTGTTGAGAATGATTCTGTGTAGTTTTTATACGAACATATTTCCTTTTCTGCCATAGGCCTAGAAGCGCTTGCAATCTGCACTTGCAAATTCCAAAAACAGAGTGTTTCAAATCTGCTCTCTCCAAAGGAAGGTTCAAATCTGTGAGTTGAATACAAAGAACACAAAGAAGTTACTGAGAATTCTTCTGTCTAGCATTATATGAGGAAATCCCGTTTCCAACGAAGGGCTCATAGAGGGACAATTATCCAGCTGCAGACTTACAAAGAGTGTATTTCCAAACTGCTCGATTAAAGAAAGGTTAAACTCTGTGAGTTGAACACACACATCACAAAGTGTTTTCTGAGAATGATTTTGTCTAGTTTAAATACGAAGATATATCCTTTTCTATCACTGTCTTCGAAGCGTTTGAAATCTGCACTAGCAAATTCCACAGAAAGAGTGTTTCAACTCTGCTCTCTCTCAAGAAAGGTTCAACTCTGTGAGTGGAATACACACAACACAAAGAAGTTACTGAGAATTCTTCTGTCTAGCGTTATATGAAGAAATCCCGTTTCCAACGAAGGCCTCAAAGAGGTCCAAATATCCACTTGCAGACTTTACAAATAGAGTGTTTCCAAACTGCTCTATGAAAAGAAAGGTTAAACTCTGTGAGTTGAAGGCACACATCACAAACTAGTTTCTGCGAATGACTCTGTGTACTTTTAATACGAAGATGTTTCCATGTCTAAGATTGGCGTGAATTCGCTTGAAATCTCCACTTGCAAATTCCACAAAAAGAGTGTTTCAAAACTGCTCTGAATAAAGGAAGGTTCCACTCTGTGAGTTGAATACACACAACACAAAGGATTTACTGAGAATTCTTCTGTCTAGCAGTAAATGAAAAAATCCCGCTTCCAACGAAGTCCTCAAAGGGGTCCAAGTAATCACTTGCAGACTTTACAGAGTCTTTCCAAACTGCTGTATGAAAACAAAGGTGGAACTCTGTGAGCTGAACGCACACATAACAAAGCAGTTTCTGAGAATGATTCTGTGTAGTTTTTACACGAAGATATTTCCATTTCAAAGATTAGCCTCAAATCGCTTGAAATCTCCACTTGCAAATTCCACAGAAAGAGTTTTTCAAAACTGCTCTGTGTAAAGGAAGGTTCAACTCTGTGACTTGAATACACACAACACAAAGAAGTGACTGAGAATTCTTCTGTCTAGCATTATATGAAGAAATCCCGTTTCCAACGAAGGCCTCAAAGAAGTCCAAATAAGCACCTGCAGACTTTACAAACAGAGTGTTTCCAAACTGCTCTATGAAAAGAAAGGTTAAACTCTGTGAGTTGAACGCACACATCACAAAGTAGTTGTTGAGAATGATTCTGTGTAGTTTTTATACGAAGATATTTCCTTTTCTGCCATAGGCCTAGAAGCGCTTGTAATCTCCACTTGCAAATTCCAAAAACAGAGTGTTTCAAATCTGCTCTCTCTAAAGGAAGGTTCAAATCTGTGAGTTGAATACAAACAACACAAAGAAGTTACTGAGAATTCTTCTGTCTAGCATTATAAGAGGAAATCCCGTTTCCAACGAAGGGCTCATAGAGGGACAATTATCCAGCTGCAGACTTACAAAGAGTGTATTTCCAAACTGCTCGATTAAAGAAAGGTTAAACTCTGTGAGTTGAACACACACATCACAAAGTGTTTTCTGAGAATGATTTTGTCTAGTTTTAATACGAAGATATATCCTTTTCTATCACTGTCTTCGAAGCGTTTGAAATCTGCACTAGCAAATTCCACAGAAAGAGTGTTTCAACTCTGCTCTCTCTCAAGAAAGGTTCAACTCTGTGAGTGGAATACACACAACACAAAGAAGTTACTGAGAATTCTTCTGTCTAGCGTTATATGAAGAAATCCCGTTTCCAACGAAGGCCTCAAAGAGGTCCAAATATCCACTTGCAGACTTTACAAATAGAGTGTTTCCAAACTGCTCTATGAAAAGAAAGGTTAAACTCCGTGAGTTGAAGGCACACATCACAAACTAGTTTCTGCGAATGACTCTGTGTACTTTTAATACGAAGATGTTTCCATGTCTAAGATTGGCGTGAATTCGCTTGAAATCTCCACTTGCAATTTCCACAAAAAGAGTGTTTCAAAACTGCTCTGAATAAAGGAAGGTTCCACTCTGTGAGTTGAATACACACAACACAAAGGATTTACTGAGAATTCTTCTGTCTAGCAGTAAATGAAAAAATCCCGCTTCCAACGAAGTCCTCAAAGGGGTCCAAGTAATCACTTGCAGACTTTACAGACAGAGTCTTTCCAAACTGCTCTATGAAAAGAAAGGTGGAACTCTGTGAGCTGAACGCACACATAACAAAGCAGTTTCTGAGAATGATTCTGTGTAGTTTTTACACGAAGCTATTTCCATTTCAAAGATTAGCCTCAAATCGCTTGAAATCTCCACTTGCAAATTCCACAGAAAGAGTTTTTCAAAACTGCTCTGTGTAAAGGAAGGTTCAACTCTGTGACTTGAATACACACAACACAAAGAAGTGACTGAGAATTCTTCTGTCTAGCATTACATGAAGAAATCCCGTTTCCAACGAAGGCCTCAAAGAAGTCCAAATAAGCACCTGCAGACTTTACAAACAGAGTGTTTCCAAACTGCTCTATGAAAAGAAAGGTTAAACTCTGTGAGTTGAACGCACACATCACAAAGTAGTTGTTGAGAATGATTCTGTGTAGTTTTTATACGAAGATATTTCCTTTTCTGCCATAGGCCTAGAAGCGCTTGAAATCTGCACTTGCAAATTCCAAAAACAGAGTGTTTCAAATCTGCTCTCTCCAAAGGAAGGTTCAAATCTGTGAGTTGAATACAAACAACACAAAGAAGTTACTGAGAATTCTTCTGTCTAGCATTATATGAGGAAATCCCGTTTCCAACGAAGGGCTCATAGAGGGACAATTATCCAGCTGCAGACTTACAAAGAGTGTATTTCCAAACTGCTCGATTAAAGAAAGGTTAAACTCTGTGAGTTGAACACACACATCACAAAGTGTTTTCTGAGAATGATTTTGTCTAGTTTTAATACGAAGATATATCCTTTTCTATCACTGTCTTCGAAGCGTTTGAAATCTGCACTAGCAAATTCCACAAAAAGAGTGTTTCAACTCTGCTCTCTCTCAAGAAAGGTTCAACTCTGTGAGTTGAATACACACAACACAAAGAAGTTACTGAGAATTCTTCTGTCTAGCGTTATATGAAGAAATCCCGTTTCCAACGAAGGCCTCAAAGTGGTCCAAATATCCACTTGCAGACCTTACAAATAGAGTGTTTCCAAACTGCTCTATGAAAAGAAAGGTTAAACTCTGTGAGTTGAAGGCACACATCACAAACTAGTTTCTGCGAATGACTCTGTGTACTTTTAATACGAAGATATTTCCATGTCTAAGATTGGCGTGAATTCGCTTGAAATCTCCACTTGCAAATTCCACAAAGAGTGTTTCAAAACTGCTCTGAATAAAGGAAGGTTCCACTCTGTGAGTTGAATACACACAACACAAAGGATTTACTGAGAATTCTTCTGTCTAGCAGTAAATGAAAAAATCCCGCTTCCAACGAAGTCCTCAAAGGGGTCCAAGTAATCACTTGCAGACTTTACAGACAGAGTCTTTCCAAACTGCTCTATGAAAAGAAAGGTGGAACTCTGTGAGCTGAACGCACACATAACAAAGCAGTTTCTGACAATGATTCTGTGTGGTTTTTACACGAAGCTATTTCCATTTCAAAGATTAGCCTCAAATCGCTTGAAATCTCCACTTGCAAATTCCACAGAAAGAGTTTTTCAAAACTGCTCTGTGTAAAGGAAGGTTCAACTCTGTGACTTGAATACACACAACACAAAGAAGTGACTGAGAATTCTTCTGTCTAGCATTACATGAAGAAATCCCGTTTCCAACGAAGGCCTCAAAGAAGTCCAAATAAGCACCTGCAGACTTTACAAACAGAGTGTTTCCAAACTGCTCTATGAAAAGAAAGGTTAAACTCTGTGAGTTGAACGCACACATCACAAAGTAGTTGTTGAGAATGATTCTGTGTAGTTTTTATACGAAGATATTTCCTTTTCTGCCATAGGCCTAGAAGCGCTTGTAATCTGCACTTGCAAATTCCAAAAACAGAGTGTTTCAAATCTGCTCTCTCTAAAGGAAGGTTCAAATCTGTGAGTTGAATACAAACAACACAAAGAAGTTACTGAGAATTCTTCTGTCTAGCATTATAAGAGGAAATCCTGTTTCCAACGAAGGGCTCATAGAGGGACAATTATCCAGCTGCAGACTTACAAAGAGTGTATTTCCAAACTGCTCGATTAAAGAAAGGTTAAACTCTGTGAGTTGAACACACACATCACAAAGTGTTTTCTGAGAATGATTTTGTCTAGTTTTAATACGAAGATATATCCTTTTCTATCACTGTCTTCGAAGCGTTTGAAATCTGCACTAGCAAATTCCACAAACAGAGTGTTTCAACTCTGCTCTCTCTCAAGAAAGGTTCAACTCTGTGAGTTGAATACACACAACACAAAGAAGTTACTGAGAATTCTTCTGTCTAGCGTTATATGAAGAAATCCCGTTTCCAACGAAGGCCTCAAAGAGGTCCAAATATCCACTTGCAGACTTTACAAATAGAGTGTTTCCAAACTGCTCTATGAAAAGAAAGGTTAAACTCCGTGAGTTGAAGGCACACATCACAAACTAGTTTCTGCGAATGACTCTGTGTACTTTTAATACGAAGATGTTTCCATGTCTAAGATTGGCGTGAATTCGCTTGAAATCTCCACTTGCAAATTCCACAAAAAGAGTGTTTCAAAACTGCTCTGAATAAAGGAAGGTTCCACTCTGTGAGTTGAATACACACAACACAAAGGATTTACTGAGAATTCTTTCTGTCTAGCAGTAAATGAGAAATCCCGCTTCCAACGAAGGCCTCAAAGGGGTCTAACTAATCACTTGCAGACTTTACAGACAGAGTCTTTCCAAACTGCTCTATGAAGAGAAAGGTGAAACTCTGTGAACTGAACGCACAGATGACAAAGCAGTTTCTGAGAATGATTCTGTGTAGTTTTTACACGAAGCTATTTCCATTTCAAAGTATTAGCCTCAAATCGCTTGAAATCTCCACTTGCAAATTCCACAGAAAGAGTTTTTCAAAACTGCTCTGTGTAAAGGAAAGTTCAACTCTGTGACTTGAATACACACAACACAAAGAAGTGACTGAGAATTCTTCTGTCTAGCATTATATGAAGAAATCCCGTTTCCAACGAAGGCCTCAAAGAAGTCCAAATAAGCACCTGCAGACTTTACAAACAGAGTGTTTCCAAACTGCTCTATGAAAAGAAAGGTTAAACTCTGTGAGTTGAACGCACACATCACAAAGTAGTTGTTGAGAATGATTCTGTGTAGTTTTTATACGAAGATATTTCCTTTTCTGCCATAGGCCTAGAAGCGCTTGCAATCTGCACTTGCAAATTCCAAAAACAGAGTGTTTCAAATCTGCTCTCTCCAAAGGAAGGTTCAAATCTGTGAGTTGAATACAAACAACACAAAGAAGTTACTGAGAATTCTTCTGTCTAGCGTTATATGAAGAAATCCCGTTTCCAACGAAGGCCTCAAAGAGGTCCAAATATCCACTTGCAGACTTTACAAATAGAGTGTTTCCCAACTGCTCTATGAAAAGAAAGGTCAAACTCTGTGAGTTGAAGGCACACATCACAAACTAGTTTCTACGAATGACTCTGTGTACTTTTAATATGAAGATATTTCCATGTCTAAGATTGGCGTCAAATCGCTTGAAATCTCCACTTGCAAATTCCACAAAAAGAGTGTTTGAAAACTGCTCTGAATAAAGGAAGGTTCCACTCTGTGAGTTGAATACACACAACACAAAGGATTTACTGAGAATTCTTCTGTCTAGCAGTAAATGAGAAATCCCTCTTCCAACGAACGCCTCAAAGGGGTCTAACTAATCACTTGCAGACTTTACAGACAGAGTCTTTCCAAACTGCTCTATGAAGAGAAAGGTGAAACTCTGTGAACTGAACGCACAGATGACAAAGCAGTTTCTGAGAATGATTCTGTGTAGTTTTTACACGAAGATATTTCCATTTCAAAGATTAGCCTCAAATCGCTTGAAATCTCCACTTGCAAACTCCACAGAAAGAATTTTTCAAAACTGCTCTGTCTAAAGGAAGGTTCAACTCTGTGACTTGAATACACACAACACAAAGAAGTGACTGAGAATTCTTCTGTCTAGCATTATATGAAGAAATCCCGTTTCCAACGAAGGCCTCAATGAAGTCCAAAAAAGCACTTGCAGGCTTTACAAACAGAGTGTTTCCAAACTGCTCTATGAAAAGAAAGGTTAAACTCTGTGAGTTGAACGCACACATCACAAAGTAGTTGTTGAGAATGATTCTGTGTAGTTTTTATACGAAGATATTTCCTTTTCTGCCATAGGCCTAGAAGCGCTTGAAATCTGCACTTGCAAATTCCAAAAACAGAGTGTTTCAAATCTGCTCTCTCTAAAGGAAGGTTCAAATCTGTGTGTTGAATACAAACAACACAAAGAAGTTACTGAGAATTCTTCTGTCTAGCATTATATGAGGAAATCCCGTTTCCAACGAAGGGCTCAAAGAGGGCCAAATATCCACCTGCAGACTTACAAAGAGTGTATTTCCAAACTGCTCGATTAAAGAAAGGTTAAACTCTGTGAGTTGAACACACACATCACAAAGAGTTTTCTGAGAATGATTTTGTCTACTTTTAATACGAAGATATATCCTTTTCTATCACTGTCTTCGAAGCGTTTGAAATCTACACTAGCAAATTCCACAAAAAGACTGTTTCACCTCTGCTCCCTCTAAAGAAAGGTTCAACTCTGTGAGTTGAATACACACAACACAAAGAAGTTACTGAGAATTCTTCTGTCTAGCGTTATATGAAGAAATCCCGTTTCCAACGAAGGCCTCAAAGAGGTCCAAATATCCACTTGCAGACTTTACAAATAGAGTGTTTCCCAACTGCTCTATGAAAAGAAAGGTTAAACTCTGTGAGTTCAAGGCACACATCACAAACTAGTTTCTACGAATGACTCTGTGTACTTTTAATACGAAGATGTTTCCGTGTCTAAGATTGGCGTGAATTCGCTTGAAATCTCCACTTGCAAATTCCACAAAAAGAGTGTTTCAAAACTGCTCTGAATAAAGGAAGGTTCCACTCTGTGAGTTGAATACACACAACACAAAGGATTTACTGAGAATTCTTCTGTCTAGCAGTAAATGAAAAAATCCCGCTTCCAACGAAGTCCTCAAAGGGGTCCAAGTAATCACTTGCAGACTTTACAGACAGAGTCTTTCCAAACTGCTCTATGAAAAGAAAGGTGGAACTCTGTGAGCTGAACGCACACATAACAAAGCAGTTTCTGAGAATGATTCTGTGTAGTTTTTACACGAAGATATTTCCATTTCAAAGATTAGCCTCAAATCGCTTGAAATCTCCACTTGCAAATTCCACAGAAAGAGTTTTTCAAAACTGCTCTGTGTAAAGGAAGGTTCAACTCTGTGACTTGAATACACACAACACAAAGAAGTGACTGAGAATTCTTCTGTCTAGCATTACATGAAGAAATCCCGTTTCCAACGAAGGCCTCAAAGAAGTCCAAATAAGCACCTGCAGACTTTACAAACAGAGTGTTTCCAAACTGCTCTATGAAAAGAAAGGTTAAACTCTGTGAGTTGAACGCACACATCACAAAGTAGTTGTTGAGAATGATTCTGTGTAGTTTTTATACGAAGATATTTCCTTTTCTGCCATAGGCCTAGAAGCGCTTGTAATCTGCACTTGCAAATTCCAAAAACAGAGTGTTTCAAATCTGCTCTCTCTAAAGGAAGGTTCAAATCTGTGAGTTGAATACAAACAACACAAAGAAGTTACTGAGAATTCTTCTGTCTAGCATTATAAGAGGAAATCCTGTTTCCAACGAAGGGCTCATAGAGGGACAATTATCCAGCTGCAGACTTACAAAGAGTGTATTTCCAAACTGCTCGATTAAAGAAAGGTTAAACTCTGTGAGTTGAACACACACATCACAAAGTGTTTTCTGAGAATGATTTTGTCTAGTTTTAATACGAAGATATATCCTTTTCTATCACTGTCTTCGAAGCGTTTGAAATCTGCATTAGCAAATTCCACAAACAGAGTGTTTCAACTCTGCTCTCTCTCAAGAAAGGTTCAACTCTGTGAGTTGAATACACACAACACAAAGAAGTTACTGAGAATTCTTCTGTCTAGCGTTATATGAAGAAATCCCGTTTCCAACGAAGGCCTCAAAGAGGTCCAAATATCCACTTGCAGACTTTACAAATAGAGTGTTTCCAAACTGCTCTATGAAAAGAAAGGTTAAACTCCGTGAGTTGAAGGCACACATCACAAACTAGTTTCTGCGAATGACTCTGTGTACTTTTAATACGAAGATGTTTCCATGTCTAAGATTGGCGTGAATTCGCTTGAAATCTCCACTTGCAAATTCCACAAAAAGAGTGTTTCAAAACTGCTCTGAATAAAGGAAGGTTCCACTCTGTGAGTTGAATACACACAACACAAAGGATTTACTGAGAATTCTTCTGTCTAGCAGTAAATGAAAAAATCCCGCTTCCAACGAAGTCCTCAAAGGGGTCCAAGTAATCACTTGCAGACTTTACAGACAGAGTCTTTCCAAACTGCTCTATGAAAAGAAAGGTGGAACTCTGTGAGCTGAACGCACACATAACAAAGCAGTTTCTGAGAATGATTCTGTGTAGTTTTTACACGAAGATATTTCCATTTCAAAGATTAGCCTCAAATCGCTTGAAATCTCCACTTGCAAATTCCACAGAAAGAGTTTTTCAAAACTGCTCTGTGTAAAGGAAGGTTCAACTCTGTGACTTGAATACACACAACACAAAGAAGTGACTGAGAATTCTTCTGTCTAGCATTATATGAAGAAATCCCGTTTCCAACGAAGGCCTCAAAGAAGTCCAAATAAGCACCTGCAGACTTTACAAACAGAGTGTTTCCAAACTGCTCTATGAAAAGAAAGGTTAAACTCTGTGAGTTGAACGCACACATCACAAAGTAGTTGTTGAGGATGATTCTGTGTAGTTTTTATACGAAGATATTTCCTTTTCTGCCATAGGCCTAGAAGCGCTTGCAATCTGCACTTGCAAATTCCAAAAACAGAGTGTTTCAAATCTGCTCTCTCTAAAGGAAGTTTCAAATCTGTGAGTTGAATACAAACAACACAAAGAAGTTACTGAGAATACTTCTGTCTAGCATTATATGAGGAAATCCCGTTTCCAACGAAGGGCTCATAGAGGGACAATTATCCACCTGCAGACTTACAAAGAGTGCATTTCCAAACTGCTCGATTAAAGAAAGGTTAAACTCTGTGAGTTGAACACACACATCACAAAGTGTTTTCTGAGAATGATTTTGTCTAGTTTTAATACGAAGATATATCCTTTTCTATCACTGTCTTCGAAGCGTTTGAAATCTGCACTAGCAAATTCCACAGAAAGAGTGTTTCAACTCTGCTCTCTCTCAAGAAAGGTTCAACTCTGTGAGTGGAATACACACAACACAAAGAAGTTACAGAGAATTCTTCTGTCTAGCGTTATATGAAGAAATCCCGTTTCCAACGAAGGCCTCAAAGACGTCCAAATATCCACTTGCAGACTTTACAAATAGAGTGTTTCCAAACTGCTCTATGAAAAGAAAGCTTAAACTCTGTGAGTTGAAGGCACACATCACAAACTAGTTTCTGCGAATGACTCTGTGTACTTTTAATACGAAGATGTTTCCATGTCTAAGATTGGCGTGAATTCGCTTGAAATCTCCACTTGCAAATTCCACAAAAAGAGTGTTTCAAAACTGCTCTGAATAAAGGAAGGTTCCACTCTGTGAGTTGAATACACACAACACAAAGGATTTACTGAGAATTCTTCTGTCTAGCAGTAAATGAAAAAATCCCGCTTCCAACGAAGTCCTCAAAGGGGTCCAAGTAATCACTTGCAGACTTTACAGACAGAGTCTTTCCAAACTGCTCTATGAAAAGAAAGGTGGAACTCTGTGAGCTGAACGCACACATAACAAAGCAGTTTCTGAGAATGATTCTGTGTAGTTTTTACACGAAGATATTTCCATTTCAAAGATTAGCCTCAAATCGCTTGAAATCTCCACTTGCAAATTCCACAGAAAGAGTTTTTCAAAACTGCTCTGTGTAAAGGAAGGTTCAACTCTGTGACTTGAATACACACAACACAAAGAAGTGACTGAGAATTCTTCTGTCTAGCATTATATGAAGAAATCCCGTTTCCAACGAAGGCCTCAAAGAAGTCCAAATAAGCACCTGCAGACTTTACAAACAGAGTGTTTCCAAACTGCTCTATGAAAAGAAAGGTTAAACTCTGTGAGTTGAACGCACACATCACAAAGTAGTTGCTGAGAATGATTCTGTGTAGTTTTTACACGAAGATATTTCCTTTTCTGCCATAGGCCTAGAAGCGCTTGTAATCTGCACTTACAATTTCCAAAAGAAGAGTGTTTCAAATCTGCTCTCTCTAAAGGAAAGTTCAAATCTGTGAGTTGAATACAAACAACACAAAGAAGTTACTGAGAATTTTTCTGTCTAGCATTATATGAGGAAATCCCGTTTCCAACGAAGGGCTCATAGAGGGACAATTATCCACCTGCAGACTTACAAAGAGTGTATTTCCAAACTGCTCGATTACAGAAAGGTTAAACTCTGTGAGTTGAACACACACATCACAAAGTGTTTTCTGAGAATGATTTTGTCTAGTTTTAATACGAAGATATATCCTTTTCTATCACTGTCTTCGAAGCGTTTGAAATCTGCACTAGCAAATTCCACAGAAAGAGTGTTTCAACTCTGCTCTCTCTCAAGAAAGGTTCAACTCTGTGAGTGGAATACACACAACACAAAGAAGTTACAGAGAATTCTTCTGTCTAGCGTTATATGAAGAAATCCCGTTTCCAACGAAGGCCTCAAAGAGGTCCAAATATCCACTTGCAGACTTTACAAATAGAGTGTTTCCAAACTGCTCTATGAAAAGAAAGGTTAAACTCCGTGAGTTGAAGGCACACATCACAAACTAGTTTCTGCGAATGACTCTGTGTACTTTTAATACGAAGATGTTTCCATGTGTAAGATTGGCGTGAATTCGCTTGAAATCTCCACTTGCAAATTCCACAAAAAGAGTGTTTCAAAACTGCTCTGAATAAAGGAAGGTTCCACTCTGTGAGTTGAATACACACAACACAAAGGATTTACTGAGAATTCTTCTGTCTAGCAGTAAATGAAAAAATCCCGCTTCCAACGAAGTCCTCAAAGGGGTCCAAGTAATCACTTGCAGACTTTACAGACAGAGTCTTTCCAAACTGCTCTATGAAAAGAAAGGTGGAACTCTGTGAGCTGAACGCACACATAACAAAGCAGTTTCTGAGAATGATCCTGTGTAGTTTTTACACGAAGCTATTTCCATTTCAAAGATTAGCCTCAAATCGCTTGAAATCTCCACTTGCAAATTCCACAGAAAGAGTTTTTCAAAACTGCTCTGTGTAAAGGAAGGTTCAACTCTGTGACTTGAATACACACAACACAAAGAAGTGACTGAGAATTCTTCTGTCTAGCATTACATGAAGAAATCCCGTTTCCAACGAAGGCCTCAAAGAAGTCCAAATAAGCACCTGCAGACTTTACAAACAGAGTGTTTCCAAACTGCTCTATGAAAAGAAAGGTTAAACTCTGTGAGTTGAACGCACACATCACAAAGTAGTTGTTGAGAATGATTCTGTGTAGTTTTTATACGAAGATATTTCCTTTTCTGCCATAGGCCTAGAAGCGCTTGTAATCTGCACTTGCAAATTCCAAAAACAGAGTGTTACAAATCTGCTCTCTCTAAAGGAAGGTTCAATCTGTGAGTTGAATACAAACAACACAAAGTAGTTACTGAGAATTCTTCTGTCTAGCATTATAAGAGGAAATCCCGTTTCCAACGAAGGGCTCATAGAGGGACAATTATCCAGCTGCAGACTTACAAAGAGTGTATTTCCAAACTGCTCGATTAAAGAAAGGTTAAACTCTGTGAGTTGAACACACACATCACAAAGTGTTTTCTGAGAATGATTTTGTCTAGTTTTAATACGAAGATATATCCTTTTCTATCACTGTCTTCGAAGCGTTTGAAATCTGCACTAGCAAATTCCACAGAAAGAGTGTTTCAACTCTGCTCTCTCTCAAGAAAGGTTCAACTCTGTGAGTTGAATACACACAACACAAAGAAGTTACTGAGAATTCTTCTGTCTAGCGTTATATGAAGAAATCCCATTTCCAACGAAGGCCTCAAAGAGGTCCAAATATCCACTTGCAGACTTTACAAATAGAGTGTTTCCAAACTGCTCTATGAAAAGAAAGGTTAAACTCCGTGAGTTGAAGGCACACATCACAAACTAGTTTCTGCGAATGACTCTGTGTACTTTTAATACGAAGATGTTTCCATGTCTAAGATTGGCGTGAATTCGCTTGAAATCTCCACTTGCAAATTCCACAAAAAGAGTGTTTCAAAACTGCTCTGAATAAAGGAAGGTTCCACTCTGTGAGTTGAATACACACAACACAAAGGATTTACTGAGAATTCTTCTGTCTAGCAGTAAATGAAAAAATCCCGCTTCCAACGAAGTCCTCAAAGGGGTCCAAGTATTCACTTGCAGACTTTACAGACAGAGTCTTTCCAAACTGCTCAATGAAAAGAAAGGTGGAACTCTGTGAGCTGAACGCACACATAACAAAGCAGTTTCTGAGAATGATTCTGTGTAGTTTTTACACGAAGCTATTTCCATTTCAAAGATTAGCCTCAAATCGCTTGAAATCTCCACTTGCAAATTCCACAGAAAGAGTTTTTCAAAACTGCTCTGTGTAAAGGAAGGTTCAACTCTGTGACTTGAATACACACAACACAAAGAAGTGACTGAGAATTCTTCTGTCTAGCATTACATGAAGAAATCCCGTTTCCAACGAAGGCCTCAAAGAAGTCCAAATAAGCACCTGCAGACTTTACAAACAGAGTGTTTCCAAACTGCTCTATGAAAAGAAAGGTTAAACTCTGTGAGTTGAACGCACACATCACAAAGTAGTTGTTGAGAATGATTCTGTGTAGTTTTTATACGAAGATATTTCCTTTTCTGCCATAGGCCTAGAAGCGCTTGTAATCTGCACTTGCAAATTCCAAAAACAGAGTGTTTCAAATCTGCTCTCTCTAAAGGAAGGTTCAAATCTGTGAGTTGAATACAAACAACACAAGGAAGTTACTGAGAATTCTTCTGTCTAGCATTATAAGAGGAAATCCCGTTTCCAACGAAGGGCTCATAGAGGGACAATTATCCAGCTGCAGACTTACAAAGAGTGTATTTCCAAACTGCTCGATTAAAGAAAGGTTAAACTCTGTGAGTTGAACACACACATCACAAAGTGTTTTCTGAGAATGATTTTGTCTAGTTTTAATACGAAGATATATCCTTTTCTATCACTGTCTTCGAAGCGTTTGAAATCTGCACTAGCAAATTCCACAAACAGAGTGTTTCAACTCTGCTCTCTCTCAAGAAAGGTTCAACTCTGTGAGTTGAATACACACAACACAAAGAAGTTACTGAGAATTCTTCTGTCTAGCGTTATATGAAGAAATCCCGTTTCCAACGAAGGCCTCAAAGACGTCCAAATATCCACTTGCAGACTTTACAAATAGAGTGTTTCCAAACTGCTCTATGAAAAGAAAGGTTAAACTCCGTGAGTTGAAGGCACACATCACAAACTAGTTTCTGCGAATGACTCTGTGTACTTTTAATACGAAGATGTTTCCATGTCTAAGATTGGCGTGAATTCGCTTGAAATCTCCACTTGCAAATTCCACAAAAAGAGTGTTTCAAAAGTGCTCTGAATAAAGGAAGGTTCCACTCTGTGAGTTGAATACACACAACACAAAGGATTTACTGAGAATTCTTCTGTCTAGCAGTAAATGAAAAAATCCCGCTTCCAACGAAGTCCTCAAAGGGGTCCAAGTAATCACTTGCAGACTTTACAGACAGAGTCTTTCCAAACTGCTCTATGAAAAGAAAGGTGGAACTCTGTGAGCTGAACGCACACATAACAAAGCAGTTTCTGAGAATGATTCTGTGTAGTTTTTACACGAAGATATTTCCATTTCAAAGATTAGCCTCCAAATCGCTTGAAATCTCCACTTGCAAATTCCACAGAAAGAGTTTTTCAAAACTGCTCTGTGTAAAGGAAGGTTCAACTCTGTGACTTGAATACACACAACACAAAGAAGTGACTGAGAATTCTTCTGTCTAGCATTATATGAAGAAATCCCGTTTCCAACTAAGGCCTCAAAGAAGTCCAAATAAGCACCTGCAGACTTTACAAACAGGGTGTTTCCAAACTGCTCTATGAAAAGAAAGGGTAAACTGTGTGAGTTGAACGCACACATCACAAAGTAGTTGTTGAGAACGATTCTGTGTAGTTTTTATACGAAGATATTTCCTTTTCTGCCATAGGCCTAGAAGCGCTTGTAATCTGCACTTGCAAATTCCAAAAACAGAGTGTTTCAAATCTGCTCTCTCTAAAGGAAGGTTCAAATCTGTGAGTTGAGTACAAACAACACAAAGAAGTTACTGAGAATCCTTCTGTCTAGCATTATAAGAGGAAATCCCGTTTCCAACGAAGGGCTCATAGAGGGACAATTATCCAGCTGCAGACTTACAAAGAGTGTATTTCCAAACTGCTCGATTAAAGAAAGGTTAAACTCTGTGAGTTGAACACACACATCACAAAGTGTTTTCTGAGAATGATTTTGTCTAGTTTTAATACGAAGATATATCCTTTTCTATCACTGTCTTCGAAGCGTTTGAAATCGGCACTAGCAAATTCCACAAACAGAGTGTTTCAACTCTGCTCTCTCTAAAGAAAGGTTCAACTCTGTGAGTGGAATACACACAACACAAAGAAGTTACTGAGAATTCTTCTGTCTAGCGTTATATGAAGAAATCCCGTTTCCAACGAAGGCCTCAAAGAGGTCCAAATATCCACTTGCAGACTTTACAAATAGAGTGTTTCCAAACTGCTCTATGAAAAGAAAGGTTAAACTCTGTGAGTTGAAGGCACACATCACAAACTAGTTTCTGCGAATGACTCTGTGTACTTTTAATACGAAGATGTTTCCATGTCTAAGATTGGCGTGAATTCGCTTGAAATCTCCACTTGCAAATTCCACAAAAAGAGTGTTTCAAAACTGCTCTGAATAAAGGAAGGTTCCACTCTGTGAGTTGAATACACACAACACAAAGGATTTACTGAGAATTCTTCTGTCTAGCAGTAAATGAAAAAATCCCGCTTCCAACGAAGTCCTCAAAGGGGTCCAAGTAATCACTTGCAGACTTTACAGACAGAGTCTTTCCAAACTGCTCTATGAAAACAAAGGTGGAACTCTGTGAGCTGAACGCACACATAACAAAGCAGTTTCTGAGAATGATTCTGTGTAGTTTTTACACGAAGATATTTCCATTTCAAAGATTAGCCTCAAATCGCTTGAAATCTCCACTTGCAAATTCCACAGAAAGAGTTTTTCAAAACTGCTCTGTGTAAAGGAAGGTTCAACTCTGTGACTTGAATACACACAACACAAAGAAGTGACTGAGAATTCTTCTGTCTAGCATTATATGAAGAAATCCCGTTTCCAACGAAGGCCTCAAAGAAGTCCAAATAAGCACCTGCAGACTTTACAAACAGAGTGTTTCCAAACTGCTCTATGAAAAGAAAGGTTAAACTCTGTGAGTTGAACGCACACATCACAAAGTAGTTGTTGAGAATGATTCTGTGTAGTTTTTATACGAAGATATTTAATTTTCTGCCATAGGCCTAGAAGTGCTTGCAATCTGCACTTGCAAATTCCAAAAACAGAGTGTTTCAAATCTGCTCTCTCCAAAGGAAGGTTCAAATCTGTGAGTTGAATACAAACAACACAAAGAAGTTACTGAGAATTCTTCTGTCTAGCATTATAAGAGGAAATCCCGTTTCCAACGAAGGGCTCATAGAGGGACAATTATCCAGCTGCAGACTTACAAAGAGTGTATTTCCAAACTGCTCGATTAAAGAAAGGTTAAACTCTGTGAGTTGAACACACACATCACAAAGTGTTTTCTGAGAATGATTTTGTCTAGTTTTAATACGAAGATATATCCTTTTCTATCACTGTCTTCGAAGCGTTTGAAATCGGCACTAGCAAATTCCACAAACAGAGTGTTTCAACTCTGCTCTCTCTCAAGAAAGGTTCAACTCTGTGAGTGGAATACACACAACACAAAGAAGTTACTGAGAATTCTTCTGTCTAGCGTTATATGAAGAAATCCCGTTTCCAACGAAGGCCTCAAAGAGGTCCAAATATCCACTTGCAGACTTTACAAATAGAGTGTTTCCAAACTGCTCTATGAAAAGAAAGGTTAAACTCCGTGAGTTGAAGGCACACATCACAAACTAGTTTCTGCAAATGACTCTGTGTACTTTTAATACGAAGATGTTTCCATGTCTAAGATTGGCGTGAATTCGCTTGAAATCTCCACTTGCAAATTCCACAAAAAGAGTGTTTCAAAACTGCTCTGAATAAAGGAAGGTTCCACTCTGTGAGTTGAATACACACAACACAAAGGATTTACTGAGAATTCTTCTGTCTAGCAGTAAATGAAAAAATCCCGCTTCCAACGAAGTCCTCAAAGGGGTCCAAGTAATCACTTGCAGACTTTACAGACAGAGTCTTTCCAAACTGCTCTATGAAAAGAAAGGTGGAACTCTGTGAGCTGAACGCACACATAACAAAGCAGTTTCTGAGAATGATTCTGTGTAGTTTTTACACGAAGATATTTCCATTTCAAAGATTAGCCTCAAATCGCTTGAAATCTCCACTTGCAAATTCCACAGAAAGAGTTTTTCAAAACTGCTCTGTGTAAAGGAAGGTTCAACTCTGTGACTTGAATACACACAACACAAGGAAGTGACTGAGAATTCTTCTGTCTAGCATTATATGAAGAAATCCCGTTTCCAACGAAGGCCTCAAAGAAGTCCAAATAAGCACCTGCAGACTTTACAAACAGAGTGTTTCCAAACTGCTCTATGAAAAGAAAGGTTAAACTCTGTGAGTTGAACGCACACATCACAAAGTAGTTGTTGAGAATGATTCTGTGTAGTTTTTATACGAAGATATTTCCTTTTCTGCCATAGGCCTAGAAGCGCTTGCAATCTGCACTTGCAAATTCCAAAAACAGAGTGTTTCAAATCTGCTCTCTCTAAAGGAAGGTTCAAATCTGTGAGTTGAATACAAACAACACAAAGAAGTTACTGAGAATTCTTCTGTCTAGCATTATAAGAAGAAATCCCGTTTCCAAAGAAGGGATCATAGAGGGACAATTATCCAGCTGCAGACTTACAAAGAGTGTATTTCCAAACTGCTCGATTAAAGAAAGGTTAAACTCTGTGAGTTGAACACACACATCACAAAGTGTTTTCTGAGAATGATTTTGTCTAGTTTTAATACGAAGATATATCCTTTTCTATCACTGTCTTCGAAGCGTTTGAAATCGGCACTAGCAAATTCCACAAAAAGAGTGTTTCAACTCTGCTCTCTCTCAAGAAAGGTTCAACTCTGTGAGTGGAATACACACAACACAAAGATGTTACTGAGAATTCTTCTGTCTAGCGTTATATGAAGAAATCCCGTTTCCAACGAAGGCCTCAAAGAGGTCCAAATATCCACTTGCAGACTTTACAAATAGAGTGTTTCCAAACTGCTCTATGAAAAGAAAGCTTAAACTCTGTGAGATGAAGGCACACATCACAAACTAGTTTCTGCGAATGACTCTGTGTACTTTTAATACGAAGATGTTTCCATGTCTAAGATTGGCGTGAATTCGCTTGAAATCTCCACTTGCAAATTCCACAAAAAGAGTGTTTCAAAACTGCTCTGAATAAAGGAAGGTTCCACTCTGTGAGTTGAATACACACAACACAAAGGATTTACTGAGAATTCTTCTGTCTAGCAGTAAATGAAAAAATCCCGCTTCCAACGAAGTCCTCAAAGGGGTCCAAGTAATCACTTGCAGACTTTACAGACAGAGTCTTTCCAAACTGCTCTATGAAAAGAAAGGTGGAACTCTGTGAGCTGAACGCACACATAACAAAGCAGTTTCTGAGAATGATTCTGTGTAGTTTTTACACGAAGATATTTCCATTTCAAAGATTAACCTCAAATCGCTTGAAATCTCCACTTGCAAATTCCACAGAAAGAGTTTTTCAAAACTGCTCTGTGTAAAGGAAGGTTCAACTCTGTGACTTGAATACACACAACACAAAGAAGTGACTGAGAATTCTTCTGTCTAGCATTATATGAAGAAATCCCGTTTCCAACGAAGGCCTCAAAGAAGTCCAAATAAGCACCTGCAGACTTTACAAACAGAGTGTTTCCAAACTGCTCTATGAAAAGAAAGGTTAAACTCTGTGAGTTGAACGCACACATCACAAAGTAGTTGTTGAGAATGATTCTGTGTAGTTTTTATACGAAGATATTTCCTTTTCTGCCATAGGCCTAGAAGCGCTTGCAATCTGCACTTGCAAATTCCAAAAACAGAGTGTTTCAAATCTGCTCCCTCTAAAGGAAGTTTCAAATCTGTGAGTTGAATACAAACAACACAAAGAAGTTACTGAGAATTCTTCTGTCTAGCATTATATGAGGAAATCCCGTTTCCAACGAAGGGCTCATAGAGGGACAATTATCCACCTGCAGACTTACAAAGAGTGTATTTCCAAACTGCTCGATTAAAGAAAGGTTAAACTCTGTGAGTTGAACACACACATCACAAAGTGTTTTCTGAGAATGATTTTGTCTAGTTTTAATACGAAGATATATCCTTTTCTATCACTGTCTTCGAAGCGTTTGAAATCTGCACTAGCAAATTCCACAAACAGAGTGTTTCAACTCTGCTCTCTCTCAAGAAAGGTTCAACTACTGTGAGTGGAATACACACAACACAAAGAAGTTACTGAGAATTCTTCTGTTTAGCGTTATATGAAGAAATCCCGTTTCCAACGAAGGCCTCAAAGAGGTCCAAATATCTACTTGCAGACTTTACAAATAGAGTGTTTCCAAACTGCTCTATGAAAAGAAAGGTTAAACTCTGTGAGTTGAAGGCACACATCACAAACTAGTTTCTACGAATGACTCTGTGTACTTTTAATATGAAGATATTTCCACGTCTAAGATTGGCATCAAATCGCTTGAAATCTCCACTTGCAAATTCCACAAAAAGTGTTTTTCAAAACTTCTCTGAATAAAGGAAGGTTCAACTCTATGAGTTGAATACACACAACACAAGGGATTTACTGAGAATTCTTCTGTCTAGCAGTAAATGAGAAATCCCACTTCCTACGAAGGCCTCAAAGGGGTCTAACTAATCACTTGTAGACTTTACAGACAGAGTCTTTCCAAACTGCTCTATGAAGAGAAAGGTGAAACTCTGTGAACTGAACGCACAGATAACAAAGCAGTTTCTGAGAATGATTCTGTGTAGTTTTTACACGAAGATATTTCCATTTCAAAGATTAGCCTCAAATCGCTTGAAATCTCCACTTGCAAATTCCACAGAAAGAGTGTTTCAAAACTGCTCTGAATAAAGGAAGGTTCAACTCTGTGAGTTGAATACACACAACACAAAGGATTTAAAGAGAATTCTTCTGTCCAGCATTATATGAAGAAATCCCGTTTCCAACGAAGGCCTCAATGAAGTCCAAAAAAGCACTTGCAGGCTTTACAAACAGAGTGTTTCCAAACTGCTCTATGAAAAGAAAGTTTAAACTCTGTGAGTTGAACGCACACATCACAAAGTAGTTGTTGAGAATGATTCTGTGTAGTTTTTATACGAAGATATTTCCTTTTCTGCCATAGGCCTAGAATCGCTTGAAATCTGCACTTGCAAATTCCAAAAACAGAGTGTTTCAAATCTGCTCTCTCTAAAGGAAGGTTCAAATCTGTGAGTTGAATACAAACAACACAAAGAAGTTACTGAGAATTCTTCTGTCTAGCATTATATGAAGAAATCCCCTATCCAACGAAGGCCTCAAAGAAGTCCAAATAAGCACCTGCAGACTTTACAAACAGAGTGTTTCCAAACTGCTCTATGAAAAGAAAGGTTAAAGTCTGTGAGTTGAACGCGCACATCACAAAGTAGTTGTTGAGAATGATTCTGTGTTGTTTTTATACGAAGATATTTCCTTTTCTGCCATAGGCCTAGAAGCGCTTGAAATCTGCCCTTGCAAATTCCAAAAACAGAGTGTTTCAAATCTGCTCTATCTAAAGAAAGGTTCAAATCTGTGAGTTGAATACAAACAACACAAAGAAGTTACTGAGAATTCTTCTGTCTAGCGTTATATGAAGAAATCCCGTTTCCAACGAAGGCCTCAAAGAGGTCCAAATATCCACTTGCAGACTTTACAAATAGAGTTTTTCCGAACTGCTCTATGAAAAGAAAGGTTAAACTCTGTGAGTTGAAGGCACACATCACAAACAAGATTCTGCGAATGACTCTGTGTACTTTTAATACGAAGATATTTCCATGTCTAAGATTGGCGTGAATTCGCTTGAAATCTCCACTTGCAAATTCCACAAAAAGAGTGTTTCAAAACTGCTCTGAATAAAGGAAGGTTCAACTCTGTGAGTTGAATACACACAACACAAAGGATTTAATGAGAATTCTTCTGTCTAGCAGTAAATGAAAAAATCCCGCTTCCAACGAAGTCCTCAAAGGGGTCCAAGTAATCACTTGCAGACTTTACAGACAGAGTCTTTCCAAACTGCTCTATGAAAAGAAAGGTGGAACTCTGTGAGCTGAACGCACACATAACAAAGCAGTTTCTGACAATGATTCTGTGTAGTTTTTACACGAAGATATTTCCATTTCAAAGATTAGCCTCAAATCGCTTGAAATCTCCACTTGCAAATTCCACAGAAAGAGTTTTTCAAAACTGCTCTGTGTAAAGGAAGGTTCAACTCTGTGACTTGAATACACACAACACAAAGAAGTGACTGAGAATTCTTCTGTCTAGCATTATATGAAGAAATCCCGTTTCCAACGAAGGCCTCAAAGAAGTCCAAATAAGCACCTGCAGACTTTACAAACAGAGTGTTTCCAAACTGCTCTATGAAAAGAAAGGTTAAACTCTGTGAGTTGAACGCACACATCACAAAGTAGTTGTTGAGAATGATTCTGTGTAGTTTTTATACGAAGATATTTCCTTTTCTGCCATAGGCCTAGAAGCGCTTGTAATCTGCACTTGCAAATTCCAAAACCAGAGTGTTTCAAATCTGCTCTCTCTAAAGGAAGGTTCAAATCTGTGAGTTGAATACAAACAACACAAAGAAGTTACTGAGAATTCTTCTGTCTAGCATTATAAGAGGAAATCCCGTTTCCAACGAAGGGCTCATAGAGGGACAATTATCCAGCTGCAGACTTACAAAGAGTGTATTTCCAAACTGCTCGATTAAAGAAAGGTTAAACTCTGTGAGTTGAACACACACATCACAAAGTGTTTTCTGAGAATGATTCTGTGTAGTTTTTATACGAAGGTATTTCCTTTTCTGCCATAGGCCTAGAAGCGCTTGTAATCTGCACTTGCAAATTCCAAAAACAGAGTGTTTCAAATCTGCTCTCTCTAAAGGAAGGTTCAAATCTGTGAGTTGAATACAAACAACACAAAGAAGTTACTGAGAATTCTTCTGTCTAGCATTATAAGAGGAAATCCCGTTTCCAACGAAGGGCTCATAGAGGGACAATTATCCAGCTGCAGACTTACAAAGAGTGTATTTCCAAACTGCTCGATTAAAGAAAGGTTAAACTCTGTGAGTTGAACACACACATCACAAAGTGTTTTCTGAGAATGATTTTGTCTAGTTTTAATACGAAGATATATCCTTTTCTATCATTGTCTTCGAAGCGTTTGAAATCTGCACTAGCAAATTCCACAGAAAGAGTGTTTCAACTCTGCTCTCTCTCAAGAAAGGTTCAACTCTGTGAGTTGAAAACACACAACACAAAGAAGTTACTGAGAATTCTTCTGTCGAGCGTTATATGAAGAAATCCCGTTTCCAACGAAGGCCTCAAAGAGGTCCAAATATCCACTTGCAGACTTTACAAATAGAGTGTTTCCAAACTGCTCTATGAAAAGAAAGGTTAAACTCCGTGAGTTGAAGGCACACATCACAAACTAGTTTCTGCGAATGACTCTGTGTACTTTTAATACGAAGATGTTTCCATGTCTAAGATTGGCGTGAATTCGCTTGAAATCTCCACTTGCAAATTCCACAAAAAGAGTGTTTCAAAAGTGCTCTGAATAAAGGAAGGTTCCACTCTGTGAGTTGAATACACACAACACAAAGGATTTACTGAGAATTCTTCTGTCTAGCAGTAAATGAAAAAATCCCGCTTCCAACGAAGTCCTCAAAGGGGTCCAAGTAATCACTTGCAGACTTTACAGACAGAGTCTTTCCAAACTGCTCTATGAAAAGAAAGGTGGAACTCTGTGAGCTGAACGCACACATAACAAAGCAGTTTCTGAGAATGATTCTGTGTAGTTTTTACACGAAGATATTTCCATTTCAAAGATTAGCCTCAAATCGCTTGACATCTCCACTTGCAAATTCCACAGAAAGAGTTTTTCAAAACTGCTCTGTGTAATGGAAGGTTCAACTCTGTGACTTGAATACACACAACACAAAGAAGTGACTGAGAATTCTTCTGTCTAGCATTATATGAAGAAATCCCGTTTCCAACGAAGGCCTCAAAGAAGTCCAAATAAGCACCTGCAGACTTTACAAACAGAGTGTTTCCAAACTGCTCTATGAAAAGAAAGGTTAAACTCTGTGAGTTGAACGCACACATCACAAAGTAGTTGTTGAGAATGATTCTGTGTAGTTTTTATACGAAGATATTTCCTTTTCTGCCATAGGCCTAGAAGCGCTTGTAATCTGCACTTGCAAATTCCAAAAACAGAGTGTTTCAAATCTGCTCTCTCTAAAGGAAGGTTCAAATCTGTGAGTTGAATACAAACAACACAAAGAAGTTACTGAGAATTCTTCTGTCTAGCATTATAAGAGGAAATCCCGTTTCCAACGAAGGGCTCATAGAGGGACAATTATCCAGCTGCAGACTTACAAAGAGTGTATTTCCAAACTGCTCGATTAAAGAAAGGTTAAACTCTGTGAGTTGAACACACACATCACAAAGTGTTTTCTGAGAATGATTTTGTCTAGTTTTAATACGAAGATATCCTTTTCTATCACTGTCTTCGAAGCGTTTGAAATCTGCACTAGCAAATTCCACAAACAGAGTGTTTCAACTCTGCTCTCTCTCAAGAAAGGTTCAACTCTGTGAGTTGAATACACACAACACAAAGAAGTTACTGAGAATTCTTCTGTCTAGCGTTATATGAAGAAATCCCGTTTCCAACGAAGGCCTCAAAGAGGTCCAAATATCCACTTGCAGACTTTACAAATAGAGTGTTTCCAAACTGCTCTATGAAAAGAAAGGTTAAACTCCGTGAGTTGAAGGCACACATCACAAGCTAGTTTCTGCGAATGACTCTGTGTACTTTTAATACGAAGTTGTTTCCATGTCTAAGATTGGCGTGAATTCGCTTGAAATCTCCACTTGCAAGTTCCACAAAAAGAGTGTTTCAAAACTGCTCTGAATAAAGGAAGGTTCCACTCTGTGAGTTGAATACACACAACACAAAGGATTTACTGAGAATTCTTCTGTCTAGCAGTAAATGAAAAAATCCCGCTTCCAACGAAGTCCTCAAAGGGGTCCAAGTAATCACTTGCAGACTTTACAGACAAAGTCTTTCCAAACTGCTCTATGAAAAGAAAGGTGGAACTCTGTGAGCTGAACGCACACATAACAAAGCAGTTTCTGAGAATGATTCTGTGTAGTTTTTACACGAAGCTATTTCCATTTCAAAGATTAGCCTCAAATCGCTTGAAATCTCCACTTGCAAATTCCACAGAAAGAGTTTTTCAAAACTGTTCTGTGTAAAGGAAGGTTCAACTCTGTGACTTGAATACACACAACACAAAGAAGTGACTGAGAATTCTTCTGTCTAGCATTACATGAAGAAATCCCGTTTCCAACGAAGGCCTCAAAGAAGTCCAAATAAGCACCTGCAGACTTTACAAACAGAGTGTTTCCAAACTGCTCTATGAAAAGAAAGGTTAAACTCTGTGAGTTGAACGCACACATCACAAAGTAGTTGTTGAGAATGATTCTGTGTAGTTTTTATACGAAGATATTTCCTTTTCTGCCATAGGCCTAGAAGCGCTTGTAATCTGCACTTGCAAATTCCAAAAACAGAGTGTTTCAAATCTGCTCTCTCCAAAGGAAGGTTCAAATCTGTGAGTTGAATACAAACAACACAAAGAAGTTACTGAGAATTCTTCTGTCTAGCATTATAAGAGGAAATCCTGTTTCCAACGAAGGGCTCATAGAGGGACAATTATCCAGCTGCAGACTTACAAAGAGTGTATTTCCAAACTGCTCGATTAAAGAAAGGTTAAACTCTGTGAGTTGAACACACACATCACAAAGTGTTTTCTGAGAATGATTTTGTCTAGTTTTAATACGAAGATATATCCTTTTCTATCACTGTCTTCGAAGCGTTTGAAATCTGCACTAGCAAATTCCACAGAAAGAGTGTTTCAACTCTGCTCTCTCTCAAGAAAGGTTCAACTCTGTGAGTTGAATACACACAACACAAAGAAGTTACTGAGAATTCTTCTGTCTAGCGTTATATGAAGAAATCCCATTTCCAACGAAGGCCTCAAAGAGGTCCAAATATCCACTTGCAGACTTTACAAATAGAGTGTTTCCAAACTGCTCTATGAAAAGAAAGGTTAAACTCCGTGAGTTGAAGGCACACATCACAAACTAGTTTCTGCGAATGACTCTGTGTACTTTTAATACGAAGATGTTTCCATGTCTAAGATTGGCGTGAATTCGCTTGAAATCTCCACTTGCAAATTCCACAAAAAGAGTGTTTCAAAAGTGCTCTGAATAAAGGAAGGTTCCACTCTGTGAGTTGAATACACACAACACAAAGGATTTACTGAGAATTCTTCTGTCTAGCAGTAAATGAAAAAATCCCGCTTCCAACGAAGTCCTCAAAGGGGTCCAAGTAATCACTTGCAGACTTTACAGACAGAGTCTTTCCAAACTGCTCTATGAAAAGAAAGGTGGAACTCTGTGAGCTGAACGCACACATAACAAAGCAGTTTCTGAGAATGATTCTGTGTAGTTTTTACACGAAGATATTTCCATTTCAAAGATTAGCCTCAAATCGCTTGAAATCTCCACTTGCAAATTCCACAGAAAGAGTTTTCCTAAACTGCTCTGTGTAAAGGAAGGTTCAACTCTGTGACTTGAATACACACAACACAGGGAAGTGACTGAGAATTCTTCTGTCTAGCATTATATGAAGAAATCCCGTTTCCAACGAAGGCCTCAAAGAAGTCCAAATAAGCACCTGCAGACTTTACAAACAGAGTGTTTCCAAACTGCTCTATGAAAAGAAAGGTTAAACTCTGTGAGTTGAACGCACACATCACAAAGTAGTTGTCGAGAATGATTCTGTGTAGTTTTTATACGAAGATATTTCCTTTTCTGCCATAGGCCTAGAAGCGCTTGTAATCTGCACTTGCAAATTCCGAAAACAGAGTGTTTCAAATCTGCTCTCTCTAAAGGAAGGTTCAAATCTGTGAGTTGAATACAAACAACACAAAGAAGTTACTGAGAATTCTTCTGTCTAGCATTATAAGAGGAAATCCCGTTTCCAACGAAGGGCTCATAGAGGGACAATTATCCAGCTGCAGACTTACAAAGAGTGTATTTCCAAACTGCTCGATTAAAGAAAGGTTAAACTCTGTGAGTTGAACACACACATCACAAAGTGTTTTCTGAGAATGATTTTGTCTAGTTTTAATACGAAGATATATCCTTTTCTATCACTGTCTTCGAAGCGTTTGAAATCTGCACTAGCAAATTCCACAAACAGAGTGTTTCAACTCTGCTCTCTCTCAAGAAAGGTTCAACTCTGTGAGTTGAATACACACAACACAAAGAAGTTACTGAGAATTCTTCTGTCTAGCGTTATATGAAGAAATCCCGTTTCCAACGAAGGCCTCAAAGAGGTCCAAATATCCACTTGCAGACTTTACAAATAGAGTGTTTCCAAACTGCTCTATGAAAAGAAAGGTTAAACTCCGTGAGTTGAAGGCACACATCACAAACTAGTTTCTGCGAATGACTCTGTGTACTTTTAATACGAAGATGTTTCCATGTCTAAGATTGGCGTGAATTCGCTTGAAATCTCCACTTGCAAATTCCACAAAAAGAGTGTTTCAAAACTGCTCTGAATAAAGGAAGGTTCCACTCTGTGAGTTGAATACACACAACACAAAGGATTTACTGAGAATTCTTCTGTCTAGCAGTAAATGAAAAAATCCCGCTTCCAACGAAGTCCTCAAAGGGGTCCAAGTAATCACTTGCAGACTTTACAGACAGAGTCTTTCCAAACTGCTCTATGAAAAGAAAGGTGGAACTCTGTGAGCTGAACGCACACATAACAAAGCAGTTTCTGAGAATGATTCTGTGTAGTTTTTACACGAAGATATTTCCATTTCAAAGATTAGCCTCAAATCGCTTGAAATCTCCACTTGCAAATTCCACAGAAAGAGTTTTTCAAAACTGCTCTGTGTAAAGGAAGGTTCAACTCTGTGACTTGAATACACACAACACAAAGAAGTGACTGAGAATTCTTCTGTCTAGCATTACATGAAGAAATCCCGTTTCCAACGAAGGCCTCAAAGAAGTCCAAATAAGCACCTGCAGACTTTACAAACAGAGTGTTTCCAAACTGCTCTATGAAAAGAAAGGTTAAACTCTGTGAGTTGAACGCACACATCACAAAGTAGTTGTTGAGAATGATTCTGTGTAGTTTTTATACGAAGATATTTCCTTTTCTGCCATAGGCCTAGAAGCACTTGAAATCTGCACTTGCAAATTCCAAAAACAGAGTGTTTCAAATCTGCTCTCTCCAAAGGAAGGTTCAAATCTGTGAGTTGAATACAAACAACACAAAGAAGTTACTGAGAATTCTTCTGTCTAGCATTATATGAGGAAATCCCGTTTCCAACGAAGGGCTCATAGAGGGACAATTATCCAGCTGCAGACTTACAAAGAGTGTATTTCCAAACTGCTCGATTAAAGAAAGGTTAAACTCTGTGAGTTGAACACACACATCACAAAGTGTTTTCTGAGAATGATTTTGTCTAGTTTTAATACGAAGATATATCCTTTTCTATCACTGTCTTCGAAGCGTTTGAAATCTGCACTAGCAAATTCCACAAACAGAGTGTTTCAACTCTGCTCTCTCTCAAGAAAGGTTCAACTCTGTGAGTGGAATACACACAACACAAAGAAGTTACTGAGAATTCTTCTGTCTAGCGTTATATGAAGAAATCCCGTTTCCAACGAAGGCCTCAAAGAGGTCCAAATATCCACTTGCAGACTTTACAAATAGAGTGTTTCCAAACTGCTCTATGAAAAGAAAGGTTAAACTCTGTGAGTTGAAGGCACACATCACAAACAAGTTTCTGCGAATGACTCTGTGTACTTTTAATACGAAGATGTTTCCATGTCTAAGATTGGCGTGAATTCGCTTGAAATCTCCACTTGCAAATTCCACAAAAAGAGTGTTTCAAAACTGCTCTGAATAAAGGAAGGTTCCACTCTGTGAGTTGAATACACACAACACAAAGGATTTACTGAGAATTCTTCTGTCTAGCAGTAAATGAAAAAATCCCGCTTCCAACGAAGTCCTCAAAGGGGTCCAAGTAATCACTTGCAGACTTTACAGACAGAGTCTTTCCAAACTGCTCTATGAAAAGAAAGGTGGAACTCTGTGAGCTGAACGCACACATAACAAAGCAGTTTCTGAGAATGATTCTGTGTGGTTTTTACACGAAGCTATTTCCATTTCAAAGATTAGCCTCAAATCGCTTGAAATCTCCACTTGCAAATTCCACAGAAAGAGTTTTTCAAAACTGCTCTGTGTAAAGGAAGGTTCAACTCTGTGACTTGAATACACACAACACAAAGAAGTGACTGAGAATTCTTCTGTCTAGCATTATATGAAGAAATCCCGTTTCCAACGAAGGCCTCAAAGAAGTCCAAATAAGCACCTGCAGACTTTACAAACAGAGTGTTTCCAAACTGCTCTATGAAAAGAAAGGTTAAACTCTGTGAGTTGAACGCACACATCACAAAGTAGTTGTTGAGAATGATTCTGTGTAGTTTTTATACGAAGATATTTCCTTTTCTGCCATAGGCCTAGAAGCGCTTGTAATCTGCACTTGCAAATTCCAAAAACAGAGTGTTTCAAATCTGCTCTCTCTAAAGGAAGGTTCAAATCTGTGAGTTGAATACAAACAACACAAAGAAGTTACTGAGAATTCTTCTGTCTAGCATTATAAGAGGAAATCCCGTTTCCAACGAAGGGCTCATAGAGGGACAATTATCCAGCTGCAGACTTACAAAGAGTGTATTTCCAAACTGCTCGATTAAAGAAAGGTTAAACTCTGTGAGTTGAACACACACATCACAAAGTGTTTTCTGAGAATGATTTTGTCTAGTTTTAATACGAAGATATATCCTTTTCTATCACTGTCTTCGAAGCGTTTGAAATCTGCACTAGCAAATTCCACAAACAGAGTGTTTCAACTCTGCTCTCTCTCAAGAAAGGTTCAACTCTGTGAGTTGAATACACACAACACAAAGAAGTTACTGAGAATTCTTCTGTCTAGCGTTATATGAAGAAATCCCGTTTCCAACGAAGGCCTCAAAGAGGTCCAAATATCCACTTGCAGACTTTACAAATAGAGTGTTTCCAAACTGCTCTATGAAAAGAAAGGTTAAACTCCGTGAGTTGAAGGCACACATCACAAACTAGTTTCTGCGAATGACTCTGTGTACTTTTAATACGAAGATGTTTCCATGTCTAAGATTGGCGTGAATTCGCTTGAAATCTCCACCTGCAAATTCCACAAAAAGAGTGTTTCAAAAGTGTTCTGAATAAAGGAAGGTTCCACTCTGTGAGTTGAATACACACAACACAAAGGATTTACTGAGAATTCTTCTGTCTAGCAGTAAATGAAAAAATCCCGCTTCCAACGAAGTCCTCAAAGGGGTCCAAGTAATCACTTGCAGACTTTACAGACAGAGTCTTTCCAAACTGCTCTATGAAAAGAAAGGTGGAACTCTGTGAGCTGAACGCACACATAACAAAGCAGTTTCTGAGAATGATTCTGTGTAGTTTTTACACGAAGCTATTTCCATTTCAAAGATTAGCCTCAAATCGCTTGAAATCTCCACTTGCAAATTCCACAGAAAGAGTTTTTCAAAACTGCTCTGTGTAAAGGAAGGTTCAACTCTGTGACTTGAATACACACAACACAAAGAAGTGACTGAGAATTCTTCTGTCTAGCATTACATGAAGAAATCCCGTTTCCAACGAAGGCCTCAAAGAAGTCCAAATAAGCACCTGCAGACTTTACAAACAGAGTGTTTCCAAACTGCTCTATGAAAAGAAAGGTTAAACTCTGTGAGTTGAACGCACACATCACAAAGTAGTTGTTGAGAATGATTCTGTGTAGTTTTTATACGAAGATATTTCCTTTTCTGCCATAGGCCTAGAAGCGCTTGTAATCTGCACTTGCAAATTCCAAAAACAGAGTGTTTCATATCTGCTCTCTCTAAAGGAAGGTTCAAATCTGTGAGTTGAATACAAACAACACAAAGAAGTTACTGAGAATTCTTCTGTCTAGCATTATAAGAGGAAATCCTGTTTCCAACGAAGGGCTCATAGAGGGACAATTATCCAGCTGCAGACTTACAAAGAGTGTATTTCCAAACTGCTCGATTAAAGAAAGGTTAAACTCTGTGAGTTGAACACACACATCACAAAGTGTTTTCTGAGAATGATTTTGTCTAGTTTTAATACGAAGATATATCCTTTTCTATCACTGTCTTCGAAGCGTTTGAAATCTGCACTAGCAAATTCCACAAAAAGAGTGTTTCCACTCTGCTCTCTCTCAAGAAAGGTTCAACTCTGTGAGTTGAATACACACAACACAAAGAAGTTACTGAGAATTCTTCTGTCTAGCGTTATATGAAGAAATCCCGTTTCCAACGAAGGCCTCAAAGAGGTCCAAATATCCACTTGCAGACTTTACAAATAGAGTGTTTCCAAACTGCTCTATGAAAAGAAAGGTTAAACTCCGTGAGTTGAAGGCACACATCACAAACTAGTTTCTGCGAATGACTCTGTGTACTTTTAATACGAAGATGTTTCCATGTCTAAGATTGGCGTGAATTCGCTTGAAATCTCCACTTGCAAATTCCACAAAAAGAGTGTTTCAAAACTGCTCTGAATAAAGGAAGGTTCCACTCTGTGAGTTGAATACACACAACACAAAGGATTTACTGAGAATTCTTCTGTCTAGCAGTAAATGAAAAAATACCGCTTCCAACGAAGTCCTCAAAGGGGTCCAAGTAATCACTTGCAGACTTTACAGACAGAGTCTTTCCAAACTGCTCTATGAAAAGAAAGGTGGAACTCTGCGAGCTGAACGCACACATAACAAAGCAGTTTCTGAGAATGATTTCTGTGTAGTTTTTACACGAAGCTATTTCCATTTCAAAGCATTAGCCTCAAATCGCTTGAAATCTCCACTTGCAAATTCCACAGAAAGAGTTTTTCAAAACTGCTCTGTGTAAAGGAAGGTTCAACTCTGTGACTTGAATACACACAACACAAAGAAGTGACTGAGAATTCTTCTGTCTAGCATTATATGAAGAAATCCCGTTTCCAACGAAGGCCTCAAAGAAGTCCAAATAAGCACCTGCAGACTTTACAAACAGAGTGTTTCCAAACTGCTCTATGAAAAGAAAGGTTAAACTCTGTGAGTTGAACGCACACATCACAAAGTAGTTGTTGAGAATGATTCTGTGTAGTTTTTATACGAAGATATTTCCTTTTCTGCCATAGGCCTAGAAGCGCTTGAAATCTGCACTTGCAAATTCCAAAAACAGAGTGTTTCAAATCTGCTCTCTCTAAAGGAAGGTTCAAATCTGTGTGTTGAATACAAACAACACAAAGAAGTTACTGAGAATTCTTCTGTCTAGCATTATATGAGGAAATCCCGTTTCCAACGAAGGGCTCAAAGAGGGCCAAATATCCACCTGCAGACTTACAAAGAGTGTATTTCCAAACTGCTCGATTAAAGAAAGGTTAAACTCTGTGAGTTGAACACACACATCACAAAGAGTTTTCTGAGAATGATTTTGTCTACTTTTAATACGAAGATATATCCTTTTCTATCACTGTCTTCGAAGCGTTTGAAATCTACACTAGCAAATTCCACAAAAAGAGTGTTTCACCTCTGCTCCCTCTAAAGAAAGGTTCAACTCTGTGAGTTGAATACACACAACACAAAGAAGTTACTGAGAATTCTTCTGTCTAGCGTTATATGAAGAAATCCCGTTTCCAACGAAGGCCTCAAAGAGGTCCAAATATCCACTTGCAGACTTTACAAATAGAGTGTTTCCCAACTGCTCTATGAAAAGAAAGGTTAAACTCTGTGAGTTGAAGGCACACATCACAAACTAGTTTCTACGAATGACTCTGTGTACTTTTAATATGAAGATATTTCCATGTCTAAGATTGGCGTCAAATCGCTTGAAATCTCCACTTGCAAATTCCACAAAAAGAGTGTTTCAAAACTGCTCTGAATAAAGGAAGGTTCCACTCTGTGAGTTGAATACACACAACACAAAGGATTTACTGAGAATTCTTCTGTCTAGCATTATATGAAGAAATCCCCTTTCCAACGAAGGCCTCAATGAAGTCCAAAAAAGCAATTGCAGGCTTTACAAACAGAGTGTTTCCAAACTGCTCTGTGAAAAGAAAGGTTAAACTTTGTGAGTTGAACGCACACATCACAAAGTAGTTGTTGAGAATGATTCTGTGTAGTTTTTACACGAAGATATTTCCATTTCAAAGATTAGCCTCAAATCGCTTGAAATCTCCACTTGCAAACTCCACAGAAAGAATTTTTCAAAACTGCTCTGTCTAAAGGAAGGTTCAACTCTGTGACTTGAATACACACAACACAAAGAAGTGACTGAGAATTCTTCTGTCTAGCATTATATGAAGAAATCCCGTTTCCAACGAAGGCCTCAATGAAGTCCAAAAAAGCACTTGCAGGCTTTACAAACAGAGTGTTTCCAAACTGCTCTATGAAAAGAAAGGTTAAACTCTGTGAGTTGAACGCACACATCACAAAGTAGTTGTTGAGAATGATTCTGTGTAGTTTTTATACGAAGATATTTCCTTTTCTGCCATAGGCCTAGAATCGCTTGAAATCTGCACTTGCAAATTCCAAAAACAGAGTGTTTCAACTCTGCTCTCTCTAAAGAAAGGTTCAACTCTGTGAGTTGAATACACACAACACAAAGAAGTTACTGAGAATTCTTCTGTCTAGCGTTGTATGAAGATATCCCGTTTCCAACGAAGGCCTCAAAGAGGTCCAAATATCCACTTGCAGACTTTACAAACAGAGTGTTTCCAAACTGCTCTATGAAAAGAAAGGTTAAACTCAGTGAGTTGAAGGCACACATCACAAACTAGTTTCTACGAATGACTCTGTGTACTTTTAATATGAAGGTATTTCCATGTCTAAGATTGGCGTCAAATCGCTTGAAATCTCCACTTGCAAATTCCACAAAAAGTGTTTTTGAAAACTGCTCTGAATAAAGGAAGGTTCCACTCTGTGAGTTGAATACACACAACACAAAGGATTTACTGAGAATTCTTCTGTCTAGCAGTAAATGAGAAATCCCGCTTCCAACGAAGGCCTCAAAGGGGTCTAACTAATCACTTGCAGACTTTACAGACAGAGTCTTTCCAAACTGCTCTATGAAGAGAAAGGTGAAACTGTGTGAACTGAACGCACAGATGACAAAGCAGTTTCTGAGAATGATTCTGTGTAGTTTTTACACGAAGATATTTCCATTTCAAAGATTAGCCTCAAATCGCTTGAAATCTCCACTTGCAAACTCCACAGAAAGAATTTTTCAAAACTGCTCTGTCTAAAGGAAGGTTCAACTCTGTGACTTGAATACACACAACACAAAGAAGTGACTGAGAATTCTTCTGTCTAGCATTATATGAAGAAATCCCGTTTCCAACGAAGGCCTCAATGAAGTCCAAAAAAGCACTTGCAGGCTTTACAAACAGAGTGTTTCCAAACTGCTCTATGAAAAGAAAGGTTAAACTCTGTGAGTTGAACGCACACATCACAAAGTAGTTGTTGAGAATGATTCTGTGTAGTTTTTATACGAAGATATTTCCTTTTCTGCCATAGGCCTAGAAGCGCTTGAAATCTGCACTTGCAAATTCCAAAAACAGAGTGTTTCAAATCTGCTCTCTCTAAAGGAAGGTTCAAATCTGTGTGTTGAATACAAACAACACAAAGAAGTTACTGAGAATTCTTCTGTCTAGCATTATATGAGGAAATCCCGTTTCCAACGAAGGGCTCAAAGAGGGCCAAATATCCACCTGCAGAATTACAAAGAGTGTATTTCCAAACTGCTCGATTAAAGAAAGGTTAAACTCTGTGAGTTGAACACACACATCACAAAGAGTTTTCTGAGAATGATTTTGTCTACTTTTAATACGAAGATATATCCTTTTCTATCACTGTCTTCGAAGCGTTTGAAATCTACACTAGCAAATTCCACAAAAAGAGTGTTTCACCTCTGCTCCCTCTAAAGAAAGGTTCAACTCTGTGAGTTGAATACACACAACACAAAGAAGTTACTGAGAATTCTTCTGTCTAGCGTTATATGAAGAAATCCCGTTTCCAACGAAGGCCTCAAAGAGGTCCAAATATCCACTTGCAGACTTTACAAATAGAGTGTTTCCAAACTGCTCTATGAAAAGAAAGGTTAAACTCTGTGAGTTGAACGCACACATCACAAAGTAGTTGTTGAGAATGATTCTGTGTACTTTTAATATGAAGACATTTCCATGTCTAAGATTGGCGTCAAATCGCTTGAAATCTCCACTTGCAAATTCCACAAAAAGTGTTTTTCAAAACTGCTCTGAATAAAGGAAGGTTCCACTCTGTGAGTTGAATACACACAACACAAAGGATTTACTGAGAATTCTTCTGTCTAGCAGTAAATGAGAAATCCCGCTTCCAACGAAGGCCTCAAAGGGGTCTAACTAATCACTTGCAGACTTTACAGACAGAGTCTTTCCAAACTGCTCTATGAAGAGAAAGGTGAAACTCTGTGAACTGAACGCACAGATGACAAAGCAGTTTCTGAGAATGATTCTGTGTAGTTTTTACACGAAGATATTTCCATTTCAAAGATTAGCCTCAAATCGCTTGAAATCTCCACTTGCAAATTACACAGAAAGAATTTTTCAAAACTGCTCTGTCTAAAGGAAGGTTCAACTCTGTGACTTGAATACACACAACACAAAGAAGTGACTGAGAATTCTTCTGTCTAGCATTACATGAAGAAATCCCGTTTCCAACGAAGGCCTCAATGAAGTCCAAAAAAGCACTTGCAGGCTTTACAAACAGAGTGTTTCCAAACTGCTCTATGAAAAGAAAGGTTAAACTCTGTGAGTTGAACGCACACATCACAAAGTAGTTGTTGAGAATGATTCTGTGTAGTTTTTATACGAAGATATTTCCTTTTCTGCCATAGGCCTATAATCGCTTGAAATCTGCAGTTGCAAATTCCAAAAACAGAGTGTTTCAACTCTGCTCTCTCTAAAGAAAGGTTCAACTCTGTGAGTTGAATACACACAACACAAAGAAGTTACTGAGAATTCTTCTGTCTAGCGTTGTATGAAGAAATCCCGTTTCCAACGAAGGCCTCAAAGAGGTCCAAATATCCACTTGCAGACTTTACAAATAGAGTGTTTCCAAACTGCTCTATGAAAAGAAAGGTTAAACTCTGTGAGTTGAAGGCACACATCACAAACTAGTTTCTACGAATGACTCTGTGTACTTTTAATATGAAGATATTTCCATGTCTAAGATTGGCGTCAAATCGCTTGAAATCTCCACTTGCAAATTCCACAAAAAGTGTTTTTCAAAACTGCTCTGAATAAAGGAAGGTTCCACTCTGTGAGTTGAATACACACAACACAAAGGATTTACTGAGAATTCTTCTGTCTAGCAGTAAATGAGAAATCCCGCTTCCAACGAAGGCCTCAAAGGGGTCTAACTAATCACTTGCAGACTTTACAGACAGAGTCTTTCCAAACTGCTCTATGAAGAGAAAGGTGAAACTCTGTGAACTGAACGCACAGATGACAAAGCAGTTTCTGAGAATGATTCTGTGTAGTTTTTACACGAAGATATTTCCATTTCAAAGATTAGCCTCAAATCGCTTGAAATCTCCACTTGCAAACTCCACAGAAAGAATTTTTCAAAACTGCTCTGTCTAAAGGAAGGTTCAACTCTGTGAGTTGAATACACACAACACAAAGAAGTGACTGAGAATTCTTCTGTCTAGCATTATATGAAGAAATCTCGTTTCCAACGAAGGCCTCAATGAAGTCCAAAAAAGCACTTGCAGGCTTTACAAACAGCGTGTTTCCAAACTGCTCTATGAAAAGAAAGGTTAAACTTTGTGAGTTGAACGCACACATCACAAAGTAGTTGTTGAGAATGATTCTGTGTAGTTTTTATACGAAGATATTTCCTTTCCTGCCATAGGCCTAGAATCGCTTGAAATCTGCACTTGCAAATTCCAAAAACAGAGTGTTTCATCTCTGCTCTCTCTAAAGAAAGGTTCAACTCTGTGAGTTGAATACACACAACACAAAGAAGTTACTGAGAATTCTTCTGTCTAGTGTTGTATGAAGAAATCCCATTTCCAACGAAGGCCTCAAAGAGGTCCAAATATCCACTTGCAGACATTACAAATAGAGTGTTTCCCAACTGCTCTATGAAAAGAAAGGTTAAACTCTGTGAGTTGAAGGCACACATCACAAACTAGTTTCTACGAATGACTCTGTGTACTTTTAATATGAAGATATTTCCATGTCTAAGATTGGCGTCAAATCGCTTGAAATCTCCACTTGCAAATTCCACAAAAAGTGTTTTTCAAAACTGCTCTGAATAAAGGAAGGTTCCACTCTGTGAGTTGAATACACACAACACAAAGGATTTACTGAGAATTCTTCTGTCTAGCAGTAAATGAGAAATCCCGCTTCCAACGAAGGCCTCAAAGGGGTCTAAGTAATCACTTGCAGACTTTACAGACAGAGTCTTTCCAAACTGCTCTATGAAGAGAAAGGTGAAACTCTGTGAACTGAACGCACAGATGACAAAGCAGTTTCTGAGAATGATTCTGTGTAGTTTTTACACGAAGATATTTCCATTTCAAAGATTAGCCTCAAATCGCTTGAAATCTCCACTTGCAAACTCCACAGAAAGAATTTTTCAAAACTGCTCTGTCTAAAGGAAGGTTCAACTCTGTGACTTGAATACACACAACACAAAGAAGTGACTGAGAATTCTTCTGTCTAGCATTATATGAAGAAATCCCGTTTCCAACGAAGGCCTCAATGAAGTCCAAAAAAGCACTTGCAGGCTTTACAAACAGAGTGTTTCCAAACTGCTCTATGAAAAGAAAGGTTAAACTCTGTGAGTTGAACGCACACATCACAAAGTAGTTGTTGAGAATGATTCTGTGTAGTTTTTATACGAAGATATTTCCTTTTCTGCCATAGGCCTAGAAGCGCTTGAAATCTGCACTTGCAAATTCTAAAAACAGAGTGTTTCAAACCTTCCCTCTCTAAAGGAAGGTTCAAATCTGTGAGTTGAATACAAACAACACAAAGAAGTTACTGAGAATTCTTCTGTCTAGCATTATATGAGGAAATCCCGTTTCCAACGAAGGGCTCAAAGAGGGCCAAATATCCACCTGCAGACTTACAAAGAGTGTATTTCCAAACTGCTCGATTAAAGAAAGGTTAAACTCTGTGAGTTGAACACACACATCACAAAGAGTTTTCTGAGAATGATTTTGTCTACTTTTAATACGAAGATATATCCTTTTCTATCACTGTCTTCGAAGCGTTTGAAATCTACACTAGCAAATTCCACAAAAAGAGTGTTTCACCTCTGCTCCCTCTAAAGAAAGGTTCAACTCTGTGAGTTGAATACACACAACACAAAGAAGTTACTGAGAATTCTTCTGTCTAGCGTTATATGAAGAAATCCCGTTTCCAACGAAGGCCTAAAAGAGGTCCAAATATCCACTTGCAGACTTTACAAATAGAGTGTTTCCAAACTGCTCTATGAAAAGAAAGCTTAAACTCTGTGAGTTGAAGGCACACATCACAAACTAGTTTCTGCGAACGACTCTGTGTACTTTTAATACGAAGATGTTTCCATGTCTAAGATTGGCGTGAATTCGCTTGAAATCTCCACTTGCAAATTCCACAAAAACAGTGTTTCAAAACTGCTCTGAATAAAGGAAGGTTCCACTCTGTGTGTTGAATACACACAACACAAAGGATTTACTGAGAATTCTTCTGTCTAGCAGTAAATGAAAAAATCCCGCTTCCAACGAAGTCCTCAAAGGGGTCCAAGTAATCACTTGCAGACTTTACAAACAGAGTCTTTCCAAACTGCTCTATGAAAAGAAAGGTGGAACTCTGTGAGCTGAACGCACACATAACAAAGCAGTTTCTGAGAATGATTCTGTGTAGTTTTTACACGAAGCTATTTCCATTCCAAAGATTAGCCTCAAATCGCTTGAAATCTCCACTTGCAAATTCCACAGAAAGAGTTTTTCAAAACTGCTCTGTGTAAAGGAAGGTTCAACTCTGTGACTTGAATACACACAACACAAAGAAGTGACTGAGAATTCTTCTGTCTAGCATTACATGAAGAAATCCCGTTTCCAACGAAGGCCTCAAAGAAGTCCAAATAAGCACCTGCAGACTTTACAAACAGAGTGTTTCCAAACTGCTCTATGAAAAGAAAGGTTAAACTCTGTGAGTTGAACGCACACATCACAAAGTAGTTTTTGAGAATGATTCTGTGTAGTTTTTATACGAAGATATTTCCTTTTCTGCCATAGGCCTAGAAGCGCTTGAAATCTGCACTTGCAAATTCCAAAAACAGAGTGTTTCAAATCTGCTCTCTCTAAAGGAAGGTTCAAATCTGTGAGTTGAATACAAACAACACAAAGAAGTTACTGAGAATTCTTCTGTCTAGCATTATAAGAGGAAATCCTGTTTCCAACGAAGGGCTCATAGAGGGACAATTATCCAGCTGCAGACTTACAAAGAGTGTATTTCCAAACTGCTCGATTAAAGAAAGGTTAAACTCTGTGAGTTGAACACACACATCACAAAGTGTTTTCTGAGAATGATTTTGTCTACTTTTAATACGAAGATATATCCTTTTCTATCACTGTCTTCGAAGCGTTTGAAATCTACACTAGCAAATTCCACAAAAAGAGTGTTTCACCACTGCTCCCTCTAAAGAAAGGTTCAACTCTGTGAGTTGAATACACACAACACAAAGAAGTTACTGAGAATTCTCTGTCTAGCGTTATATGAAGAAATCCCGTTTCCAACGAAGGCCTCAAAGAGGTCCAAATATCCACTTGCAGACTTTACAAATAGAGTGTTTCCAAACTGCTCTATGAAAAGAAAGGTTAAACTCCGTGAGTTGAAGGCACACATCACAAACTAGTTTCTGCGAATGACTCTGTGTACTTTTAATACGAAGATGTTTCCATGTCTAAGATTGGCGTGAATTCGCTTGAAATCTCCACTTGCAAATTCCACAAAAAGAGTGTTTCAAAACTGCTCTGAATAAAGGAAGGTTCCACTCTGTGAGTTGAATACACACAACACAAAGGATTTACTGAGAATTCTTCTGTCTAGCAGTAAATGAAAAAATCCCGCTTCCAACGAAGTCCTCAAAGGGGTCCAAGTAATCACTTGCAGACTTTACAGACAGAGTCTTTCCAAACTGCTCTATGAAAAGAAAGGTGGAACTCTGTGAGCTGAACGCACACATAACAAAGCAGTTTCTGAGAATGATTCTGTGTAGTTTTTACACGAAGCTATTTCCATTTCAAAGATTAGCCTCAAATCGCTTGAAATCTCCACTTGCAAATTCCACAGAAAGAGTTTTTCAAAACTGCTCTGTGTAAAGGATGGTTCAACTCTGTGACTTGAATACACACAACACAAAGAAGTGACTGAGAATTCTTCTGTCTAGCATTACATGAAGAAATCCCGTTTCCAACGAAGGCCTCAAAGAAGTCCAAATAAGCACCTGCAGACTTTACAAACAGAGTGTTTCCAAACTGCTCTATGAAAAGAAAGGTTAAACTCTGTGAGTTGAACGCACACATCACAAAGTAGTTGTTGAGAATGATTCTGTGTAGTTTTTATACGAAGATATTTCCTTTTCTGCCATAGGCCTAGAAGCGCTTGTAATCTGCACTTGCAAATTCCAAAAACAGAGTGTTTCAAATCTGCTCTCTCTAAAGGAAGGTTCAAATCTGTGAGTTGAATACAAACAACACAAAGAAGTTACTGAGAATTCTTCTGTCTAGCATTATAAGAGGAAATCCCGTTTCCAACGAAGGGCTCATAGAGGGACAATTATCCAGCTGCAGACTTACAAAGAGTGTATTTCCAAACTGCTCGATTAAAGAAAGGTTAAACTCTGTGAGTTGAACACACACATCACAGAGTGTTTTCTGAGAATGATTTTGTCTAGTTTTAATACGAAGATATATCCTTTTCTATCACTGTCTTCGAAGCGTTTGAAATCTGCACTAGCAAATTCCACAAACAGAGTGTTTCAACTCTGCTCTCTCTCAAGAAAGGTTCAACTCTGTGAGTTGAATACACACAACACAAAGAAGTTACTGAGAATTCTTCTGTCTAGCGTTATATGAAGAAATCCCGTTTCCAACGAAGGCCTCAAAGAGGTCCAAATATCCACTTGCAGACTTTACAAATAGAGTGTTTCCAAACTGCTCTATGAAAAGAAAGGTTAAACTCCGTGAGTTGAAGGCACACATCACAAACTAGTTTCTGTGAATGACTCTGTGTACTTTTAATACGAAGATGTTTCCATGTCTAAGATTGGCGTGAATTCGCTTGAAATCTCCACTTGCAAATTCCACAAAAAGAGTGTTTCAAATGTGCTCTGAATAAAGGAAGGTTCCACTCTGTGAGTTGAATACACACAACACAAAGGATTTACTGAGAATTCTTCTGTCTAGCAGTAAATGAAAAAATCCCGCTTCCAACGAAGTCCTCAAAGGGGTCCAAGTAATCACTTGCAGACTTTACAGACAGTGTCTTTCCAAACTGCTCTATGAAAAGAAAGGTGAAACTCTGTGAGCTGAACGCACACATAACAAAGCAGTTTCTGAGAATGATTCTGTGTAGTTTTTACACGAAGCTATTTCCATTTCAAAGATTAGCCTCAAATCGCTTGAAATCTCCACTTGCAAATTCCACAGAAAGAGTTTTTCAAAACTGCTCTGTGTAAAGGAAGGTTCAACTCTGTGACTTGAATACACACAACACAAAGAAGTGACTGAGAATTCTTCTGTCTAGCATTATATGAAGAAATCCCGTTTCCAACGAAGGCCTCAAAGAAGTCCAAATAAGCACCTGCAGACTTTACAAACAGAGTGTTTCCAAACTGCTCTATGAAAAGAAAGGTTAAACTCTGTGAGTTGAACGCACACATCACAAAGTAGTTGTTGAGAATGATTTTGTCTAGTTTTAATACGAAGATATATCCTTTTCTATCACTGTCTTCGAAGCGTTGGAAATCTGCACTAGCAAATTCCGCAAGAAGAGTGTTTCAACTCTGCTCTCTCTAAAGAAAGGTTCAACTCGGTGAGTTGAATACACACAACACAAAGAAGTTACTGAGAATTCTTCTGTCTAGCGTTATATGAAGAAATCCCGTTTCCAACGAAGGCCTCAAAGAGGTCCAAATATCCACTTGCAGACTTTACAAATAGAGTGTTTCCAAACTGCTCTATGAAAAGAAAGGTTAAACTCTGTGAGTTGAAGGCACACATCACAAACTAGTTTCTACGAATGAATCTGTGTACTTTTAATATGAAGATATTTCCATGTCTAAGATTGGCGTCAAATCGCTTGAAATCTCCACTTGCAAATTCCACAAAAAGTGTTTTTCAAAACTGCTCTGAATAAAGGAAGGTTCCACTCTGTGAGTTGAATACACACAACACAAAGGATTTACTGAGAATTCTTCTGTCTAGCAGTAAATGAGAAATCCCGCTTCCAACGAAGGCCTCAAAGGGGTCTAACTAATCACTTGCAGACTTTACAGACAGAATCTTTCCAAACTGCTCTATGAAGAGAAAGGTGAAACTCTGTGAACTGAACGCACAGATGACAAAGCAGTTTCTGAGAATGCTTCTGTGTAGTTTTTACACGAAGATATTTCCATTTCAAAGATTAGCCTCAAATCGCTTGAAATCTCCACTTGCAAACTCCACAGAAAGAATTTTTCAAAACTGCTCTGTCTAAAGGAAGGTTCAACTCTGTGACTTGAATACACACAACACAAAGAAGTGACTGAGAATTCTTCTGTCTAGCATTATATGAAGAAATCCCGTTTCCAACGAAGGCCTCAATGAAGTCCAAAAAAGCACTTGCAGGCTTTACAAACAGAGTGTTTCCAAACTGCTCTATGAAAAGAAAGGTTAAACTCTGTGAGTTGAAGGCACACATCACAAAGTAGTTGTTGAGAATGATTCTGTGTAGTTTTTATACGAAGATATTTCCTTTTCTGCCATAGGCCTAGAAGCGCTTGAAATCTGCACTTGCAAATTCCAAAAACAGAGTGTTTCAAATCTGCTCTCTCTAAAGGAAGGTTCAAATCTGTGTGTTGAATACAAACAACACAAAGAAGTTACTGAGAATTCTTCTGTCTAGCATTATATGAGGAAATCCCGTTTCCAACGAAGGGCTCAAAGAGGGCCAAATATCCACCTGCAGACTTACAAAGAGTGTATTTCCAAACTGCTCGATTAAAGAAAGGTTAAACTCTGTGAGTTGAACACACACATCACAAAGAGTTTTCTGAGAATGATTTTGTCTACTTTTAATACGAAGATATATCCTTTTCTATCACTGTCTTCGAAGCGTTTGAAATCTACACTAGCAAATTCCACAAAAAGAGTGTTTCACCTCTGCTCCCTCTAAAGAAAGGTTCAACTCTGTGAGTTGAATACACACAACACAAAGAAGTTACTGAGAATTCTTCTGTCTAGCGTTATATGAAGAAATCCCGTTTCCAACGAAGGCCTCAAAGAGGTCCAAATATCCACTTGCAGACTTTACAAATAGAGTGTTTCCCAACTGCTCTATGAAAAGAAAGGTTAAACTCTGTGAGTTGAAGGCACACATCACAAACTAGTTTCTACGAATGACTCTGTGTACTTTTAATATGAAGATATTTCCATGTCTAAGATTGGCGTCAAATCGCTTGAAATCTCCACTTGCAAATTCCACAAAAAGAGTGTTTGAAAACTGCTCTGAATAAAGGAAGGTTCCACTCTGTGAGTTGAATACACACAACACAAAGGATTTACTGAGAATTCTTCTGTCTAGCAGTAAATGAGAAATCCCACTTCCAACGAAGGCCTCAAAGGGGTCTAACTAATCACTTGCCGACTTTACAGACAGAGTCTTTCCAAACTGCTCTATGAAGAGAAAGGTGAAACTCTGTGAACTGAACGCACAGATGACAAAGCAGTTTCTGAGAATGATTCTGTGTAGTTTTTACACGAAGATATTTCCATTTCAAAGATTAGCCTCAAATCGCTTGAAATCTCCACTTGCAAATTCCACAGAAAGAGTTTTTCAAAACTGCTCTGTGTAAAGGAAGGTTCAACTCTGTGACTTGAATACACACAACACAAAGAGTGACTGAGAATTCTTCTGTCTAGCATTATATGAAGAAATCCCGTTTCCAACGAAGGCCTCAATGAAGTCCGGAAAAGCACTTGCAGGCTTTACAAACAGAGTGTTTCCAAACTGCTCTATGAAAAGAAAGGTTAAACTCTGTGAGTTGAACGCACACATCACAAAGTAGTTGTTGAGAATGATTCTGTGTAGTTTTTATACGAAGATATTTCCTTTTCTGCCATAGGCCTAGAATCGCTTGAAATCTGCACTTGCAAATTCCAAAAACAGAGTGTTTCAACTCTGCTCTCTGTAAAGAAAGGTTCAACTCTGTGAGTTGAATACACACAACACAAAGAAGTTACTGAGAATTCTTCTGTCTAGCAGTAAATGAGAAATCCCGCTTCCAACGAAGGCCTCAAAGGGGTCTAACTAATCACTTGCAGACTTACAGACAGAGTCTTTCCAAACTGCTCTATGAAGAGAAAGGTGAAACTCTGTGAACTGAACGCACAGATGACAAAGCAGTTTCTGAGAATGATTCTGTGTAGTTTTTACACGAAGATATTTCCATTTCAAAGATTAGCCTCAAATCGCTTGAAATCTCCACTTGCAAACTCCACAGAAAGAATTTTTCAAAACTGCTCTGTCTAAAGGAAGGTTCAACTCTGTGACTTGAATACACACAACACAAAGAAGTGACTGAGAATTCTTCTGTCTAGCATTATATGAAGAAATCCCGTTTCCAACGAAGGCCTCAATGAAGTGCAAAAAAGCACTTGCAGGCTTTACAAACAGAGTGTTTCCAAACTGCTCTATGAAAAGAAAGGTTAAACTCTGTGAGTTGAACGCACACATCACAAAGTAGTTGTTGAGAATGATTCTGTGTAGTTTTTATATGAAGATATTTCCTTTTCTGCCATAGGCCTAGAAGCGCTTGAAATCTGCACTTGCAAATTCCAAAAACAGAGTGTTTCAAATCTGCTCTCTCTAAAGGAAGGTTCAAATCTGTGTGTTGAATACAAACAACACAAAGAAGTTACTGAGAATTCTTCTGTCTAGCATTATATGAGGAAATCCCGTTTCCAACGAAGGGCTCAAAGAGGGCCAAATATCCACCTGCAGACTTACAAAGAGTGTATTTCCAAACTGCTCGATTAAAGAAAGGTTAAACTCTGTGAGTTGAACACACACATCACAAAGAGTTTTCTGAGAATGATTTTGTCTACTTTTAATACGAAGATATATCCTTTTCTATCACTGTCTTCGAAGCGTTTGAAATCTACACTAGCAAATTCCACAAAAAGAGTGTTTCACCTCTGCTCCCTCTAAAGAAAGGTTCAACTCTGTGAGTTGAATACACACAACACAAAGAAGTTACTGAGAATTCTTCTGTCTAGCGTTATATGAAGAAATCCCGTTTCCAACGAAGGCCTCAAAGAGGTCCAAATATCCACTTGCAGACTTTACAAATAGAGTGTTTCCAAACTGCTCTATGAAAAGAAAGGTTAAACTCCGTGAGTTGAAGGCACACATCACAAACTAGTTTCTGCGAATGACTCTGTGTACTTTTAATACGAAGATGTTTCCATGTCTAAGATTGGCGTGAATTCGCTTGAAATCTCCACTTGCAAATTCCACCAAAAGAGTGTTTCAAAACTGCTCTGAATAAAGGAAGGTTCCACTTTGTGAGTTGAATACACACAACACAAAGGATTTACTGAGAATTCTTCTGTCTAGCAGTAAATGAAAAAATCCCGCTTCCAACGAAGTCCTCAAAGGGGTCCAAGTAATCACTTGCAGACTTTACAGACGGAGTCTTTCCAAACTGCTCTATGAAAAGAAAGGTGGAACTCTGTGAGCTGAACGCACACATAACAAAGCAGTTTCTGAGAATGATTCTGTGTAGTTTTTGCACGAAGCTATTTCCATTTCAAAGATTAGCCTCAAATCGCTTGAAATCTCCACTTGCAAATTCCACAGAAAGAGTTTCTCAAAACTGCTCTGTGTAAAGGAAGGTTCAACTCTGTGACTTGAATACACACAACACAAAGAAGTGACTGAGAATTCTTCTGTCTAGCATTATATGAAGAAATCCCGTTTCCAACAAAGGCCTCAAAGAAGTCCAAATAAGCACCTGCAGACTTTACAAACAGAGTGTTTCCAAACTGCTCTATGAAAAGAAAGGTTAAACTCTGTGAGTTGAACGCACACATCACAAAGTAGTTGTTGAGAATGATTCTGTGTAGTTTTTATACGAAGATATTTCCTTTTCTGCCATAGGCCTAGAAGCGCTTGTAATCTGCACTTGCAAATTCCAAAAACAGAGTGTTTCAAATCTGCTCTCTCTAAAGGAAGGTTCAAATCTGTGAGTTGAATACAAACAACACAAAGAAGTTACTGAGAATTCTTCTGTCTAGCATTATAAGAGGAAATCCCGTTTCCAACGAAGGGCTCATAGAGGGACAATTATCCAGCTGCAGACTTACAAAGAGTGTATTTCCAAACTGCTCGATTAAAGAAAGGTTAAACTCTGTGAGTTGAACACACACATCACAAAGTGTTTTCTGAGAATGATTTTGTCTAGTTTTAATATGAAGATATATCCTTTTCTATCACTGTCTTCGAAGCGTTTGAAATCTGCACTAGCAAATTCCACAAACAGAGTGTTTCAACTCTGCTCTCTCTCAAGAAAGGTTCAACTCTGTGAGTGGAATACACACAACACAAAGAAGTTACTGAGAATTCTTCTGTCTAGCGTTATATGAAGAAATCCCGTTTCCAACGAAGGCCTCAAAGAGGTCCAAATATCCACTTGCAGACTTTACAAATAGAGTGTTTCCAAACTGCTCTATGAAAAGAAAGGTTAAACTCTGTGAGTTGAAGGCACACATCACAAACTAGTTTCTGCGAATGACTCTGTGTACTTTTAATACGAAGATGTTTCCATGTCTAAGATGGGCGTGAATTCGCTTGAAATCTCCACTTGCAAATTCCACAAAAAGAGTGTTTCAAAACTGCTCTGAATAAAGGAAGGTTCCACTCTGTGAGTTGAATACACACAACACAAAGGATTTACTGAGAATTCTTCTGTCTAGCAGTAAATGAAAAAATCCCGCTTCCAACGAAGTCCTCAAAGGGGTCCAAGTAATCACTTGCAGACTTTACAGACAGAGTCTTTCCAAACTGCTCTATGAAAAGAAAGGTGGAACTCTGTGAGCTGAACGCACACATAACAAAGCAGTTTCTGAGAATGATTCTGTGTAGTTTTTACACGAAGCTATTTCCATTTCAAAGATTAGCCTCAAATCGCTTGAAATCTCCACTTGCAAATTCCACAGAAAGAGTTTTTCAAAACTGCTCTGTGTAAAGGAAGGTTCAACTCTGTGACTTGAATACACACAACACAAAGAAGTGACTGAGAATTCTTCTGTCTAGCATTATATGAAGAAATCCCGTTTCCAACGAAGGCCTCAAAGAAGTCCAAATAAGCACCTGCAGACTTTACAAACAGAGTGTTTCCAAACTGCTCTATGAAAAGAAAGGTTAAACTCTGTGAGTTGAACGCACACATCACAAAGTAGTTGTTGAGAATGATTCTGTGTAGTTTTTATACGAAGATATTTCCTTTTCTGCCATAGGCCTAGAAGCGCTTGTAATCTGCACTTGCAAATTCCAAAAACAGAGTGTTTCAAATCTGCTCTCTCTAAAGGAAGGTTCAAATCTGTGAGTTGAATACAAACAACACAAAGAAGTTACTGAGAATTCTTCTGTCTAGCATTATAAGAGGAAATCCCGTTTCCAACGAAGGGCTCATAGAGGGACAATTATCCAGCTGCAGACTTACAAAGAGTGTATTTCCAAACTGCTCGATTAAAGAAAGGTTAAACTCTGTGAGTTGAACACACACATCACAAAGTGTTTTCTGAGAATGATTTTGTCTAGTTTTAATACGAAGATATATCCTTTTCTATCACTGTCTTCGAAGCGTTTGAAATCTGCACTAGCAAATTCCACAAACAGAGTGTTTCAACTCTGCTCTCTCTCAAGAAAGGTTCAACTCTGTGAGTTGAATACACACAACACAAAGAAGTTACTGAGAATTCTTCTGTCTAGCGTTATATGAAGAAATCCCGTTTCCAACGAAGGCCTCAAAGAGGTCCAAATATCCACTTGCAGACTTTACAAATAGAGTGTTTCCAAACTGCTCTATGAAAAGAAAGGTTAAACTCCGTGAGTTGAAGGCACACATCACAAACTAGTTTCTGCGAATGACTCTGTGTACTTTTAATACGAAGATGTTTCCATGTCTAAGATTGGCGTGAATTCGCTTGAAATCTCCACTTGCAAATTCCACAAAAAGAGTGTTTCAAAACTGCTCTGAATAAAGGAAGGTTCCACTCTGTGAGTTGAATACACACAACACAAAGGATTTACTGAGAATTCTTCTGTCTAGCAGTAAATGAAAAAATCCCGCTTCCAACGAAGTCCTCAAAAGGGTCCAAGTAATCACTTGCAGACTTTACAGACAGAGTCTTTCCAAACTGCTCTATGAAAAGAAAGGTGGAACTCTGTGAGCTGAACGCACACATAACAAAGCAGTTTCTGAGAATGATTCTGTGTAGTTTTTACACGAAGCTATTTCCATTTCAAAGATTAGCCTCAAATCGCTTGAAATCTCCACTTGCAAATTCCACAGAAAGAGTTTTTCAAAACTGCTCTGTGTAAAGGAAGGTTCAACTCTGTGACTTGAATACACACAACACAAAGAAGTGACTGAGAATTCTTCTGTCTAGCATTACATGAAGAAATCCCGTTTCCAACGAAGGCCTCAAAGAAGTCCAAATAAGCACCTGCAGACTTTACAAACAGAGTGTTTCCAAACTGCTCTATGAAAAGAAAGGTTAAACTCTGTGAGTTGAACGCACACATCACAAAGTAGTTGTTGAGAATGATTCTGTGTAGTTTTTATACGAAGATATTTCCTTTTCTGCCATAGGCCTAGAAGCGCTTGTAATCTGCACTTGCAAATTCCAAAAACAGAGTGTTTCAAATCTGCTCTCTCTAAAGGAAGGTTCAAATCTGTGAGTTGAATACAAACAACACAAAGAAGTTACTGAGAATTCTTCTGTCTAGCATTATAAGAGGAAATCCCGTTTCCAACGAAGGGCTCATAGAGGGACAATTATCCAGCTGCAGACTTACAAAGAGTGTATTTCCAAACTGCTCGATTAAAGAAAGGTTAAACTCTGTGAGTTGAACACACACATCACAAAGTGTTTTCTGAGAATGATTTTGTCTAGTTTTAATACGAAGATATATCCTTTTCTATCACTGTCTTCGAAGCGTTTGAAATCTGCACTAGCAAATTCCACAAACAGAGTGTTTCAACTCTGCTCTCTCTCAAGAAAGGTTCAACTACTGTGAGTGGAATACACACAACACAAAGAAGTTACTGAGAATTCTTCTGTCTAGCGTTATATGAAGAAATCCCGTTTCCAACGAAGGCCTCAAAGAGGTCCAAATATCCACTTGCAGACTTTACAAATAGAGTGTTTCCAAACTGCTCTATGAAAAGAAAGGTTAAACTCTGTGAGTTGAAGGCACACATCACAAACTAGTTTCTGCGAATGACTCTGTGTACTTTTAATACGAAGATGTTTCCATGTCTAAGATTGGCGTGAATTCGCTTGAAATCTCCACTTGCAAATTCCACAAAAAGAGTGTTTCAAAACTGCTCTGAATAAAGGAAGGTTCCACTCTGTGAGTTGAATACACACAACACGAAGGATTTACTGAGAATTCTTCTGTCTAGCAGTAAATGAAAAAATCCCGCTTCCAACGAAGTCCTCAAAGGGGTCCAAGTAATCACTTGCAGACTTTACAGACAGAGTCTTTCCAAACTGCTCTATGAAAAGAAAGGTGGAACTCTGTGAGCTGAACGCACACATAACAAAGCAGTTTCTGAGAATGATTCTGTGTAGTTTTTACACGAAGATATTTCCATTTCAAAGTATTAGCCTCAAATCGCTTGAAATCTCCACTTGCAAATTCCACTGAAAGAGTTTTTCAAAACTGCTCTGTGTAAAGGAAGGTTCAACTCTGTGACTTGAATACACACAACACAAAGAAGTGACTGAGAATTCTTCTGTCTAGCATTATATGAAGAAATCCCGTTTCGAACGAAGGCCTCAAAGAAGTCCAAATAAGCACCTGCAGACTTTACAAACAGAGTGTTTCCAAACTGCTCTATGAAAAGAAAGGTTAAACTCTGTGAGCTGAACGCACACATCACAAAGTAGTTGTTGAGAATGATTCTGTGTAGTTTTTATACGAAGATATTTCCTTTTCTGCCATAGGCCTAGAAGCGCTTGCAATCTGCACTTGCAAATTCCAAAAACAGAGTGTTTCAAATCTGCTCTCTCCAAAGGAAGGTTCAAATCTGTGAGTTGAATACAAACAACACAAAGAAGTTACTGAGAATTCTTCTGTCTAGCATTATATGAGGAAATCCCGTTTCCAACGAAGGGCTCATAGAGGGACAATTATCCAGCTGCAGACTTACAAAGAGTGTATTTCCAAACTGCTCGATTAAAGAAAGGTTAAACTCTGTGAGTTGAACACACACATCACAAAGTGTTTTCTGAGAATGATTTTGTCTAGTTTTAATACGAAGATATATCCTTTTCTATCACTGTCTTCGAGGCGTTTGAAATCTGCACTGGTAAATTCCACAAACAGAGTGTTTCAACTCTGCTCTCTCTCAAGAAAGGTTCAACTCTGTGAGTTGAATACACACAACACAAAGAAGTTACTGAGAATTCTTCTGTCTAGCGTTACATGAAGAAATCCCGTTTCCAACGAAGGCCTCAAAGACGTCCAAATATCCACTTGCAGACTTTACAAATAGAGTGTTTCCAAAATGCTCTATGAAAAGAAAGGTTAAACTCTGTGAGTTGAAGGCACACAACACAAACTAGTTTCTGCGAATGACTCTGTGTACTTTTAATACGAAGATGTTTCCATGTCTAAGATTTTCGTGAATTCGCTTGAAATCTCCACTTGCAAATTCCACAAAAAGAGTGTTTCAAAACTGCTCTGAATAAAGGAAGGTTCCACTCTGTGAGTTGAATACACACAACACAAAGGATTTACTGAGAATTCTTCTGTCTAGCAGTAAATGAAAAAATCCCGCTTCCAACGAAGTCCTCAAAGGGGTCCAAGTAATCACTTGCAGACTTTACAGACAGAGTCTTTCCAAACTGCTCTATGAAAAGAAAGGTGGAACTCTGTGAGCTGAACGCACACATAACAAAGCAGTTTCTGAGAATGATTCTGTGTAGTTTTTACACGAAGATATTTCCATTTCAAAGATTAGCCTCAAATCGCTTGAAATCTCCACTTGCAAATTCCACAGAAAGAGTTTTTCAAAACTGCTCTGTGTAAAGGAAGGTTCAACTCTGTGACTTGAATACACACAACACAAAGAAGTGACTGAGAATTCTTCTGTCTAGCATTATATGAAGAAATCCCGTTTCCAACGAAGGCCTCAAAGAGGTCCAAATATCCACTTGCAGACTTTACAAATAGAGTGTTTCCAAACTGCTCTATGAAAAGAAAGGTTAAACTCCGTGAGTTGAAGGCACACATCACAAACTAGTTTCTGCGAATGACTCTGTGTACTTTTAATACGAAGATGTTTCCATGTCTAAGATTGGCGTGAATTCGCTTGAAATCTCCACTTGCAAATTCCACAAAAAGAGTGTTTCAAAACTGCTCTGAATAAAGGAAGGTTCCACTCTGTGAGTTGAATACACACAACACAAAGGATTTACTGAGAATTCTTCTGTCTAGCAGTAAATGAAAAAATCCCGCTTCCAACGAAGTCCTCAAAGGGGTCCAAGTAATCACTTGCAGACTTTACAGACAGAGTCTTTCCAAACTGCTCTATGAAAAGAAAGGTGGAACTCTGTGAGCTGAACGCACACATAACAAAGCAGTTTCTGAGAATGATTCTGTGTAGTTTTTACACGAAGATATTTCCATTTCAAAGATTAGCCTCAAATCGCTTGAAATCTCCACTTGCAAATTCCACAGAAAGAGTTTTTCAAAACTGCTCTGTGTAAAGGAAGGTTCAACTCTGTGACTTGAATACACACAACACAAAGAAGTGACTGAGAATTCTTCTGTCTAGCATTATATGAAGAAATCCCGTTTCCAACGAAGGCCTCAAAGAAGTCCAAATAAGCACCTGCAGACTTTACAAACAGAGTGTTTCCAAACTGCTCTATGAAAAGAAAGGTTAAACTCTGTGAGTTGAACGCACACATCACAAAGTAGTTGTTGAGAATGATTCTGTGTAGTTTTTATACGAAGATATTTCCTTTTCTGCCATAGGCCTAGAAGCGCTTGCAATCTGCACTTGCAAATTCCAAAAACAGAGTGTTTCAAATCTGCTCTCTCCAAAGGAAGGTTCAAATCTGTGAGTTGAATACAAACAACACAAAGAAGTTACTGAGAATTCTTCTGTCTAGCATTATAAGAGGAAATCCCGTTTCCAACGAAGGGCTCATAGAGGGACAATTATCCAGCTGCAGACTTACAAAGAGTGTATTTCCAAACTGCTCGATTAAAGAAAGGTTAAACTCTGTGAGTTGAACACACACATCACAAAGTGTTTTCTGAGAATGATTTTGTCTAGTTTTAATACGAAGATATATCCTTTTCTATCACTGTCTTCGAAGCGTTTGAAATCTGCACTAGCAAATTCCACAAACAGAGTGTTTCAACTCTGCTCTCTCTCAAGAAAGGTTCAACTCTGTGAGTTGAATACACACAACACAAAGAAGTTACTGAGAATTCTTCTGTCTAGCGTTATATGAAGAAATCCCGTTTCCAACGAAGGCCTCAAAGAGGTCCAAATATCCACTTGCAGACTTTACAAATAGAGTGTTTCCAAACTGCTCTATGAAAAGAAAGGTTAAACTCCGTGAGTTGAAGGCACACATCACAAACTAGTTTCTGCAAATGACTCTGTGTACTTTTAATATGAAGATATTTCCATGTCTAAGATTGGCGTCAAATCGCTTGAAATCTCCACTTGCAAATTCCACAAAAGGAGTGTTTCAAAACTGCTCTGAATAAAGGAAGGTTCCACTCTGTGAGTTGAATAAACACAACACAAAGGACTTACTGAGAATTCTTCTGTCTAGCATTATATGAAGAAATCCCGTTTCCAACGAAGGCCTCAATGAAGTCCAAAAAAGCACTTGCAGGCTTTACAAACAGAGTGTTTCCAAACTTCTCTATGAAAAGAAAGGTTAAACTTTGTGAGTTGAACGCACACATCACAAAGTAGTTGTTGAGAATGATTCTGTGTAGTTTTTATACGAAGATATTTCCTTTTCTGCCATAGGCCTAGAATGGCTTGAAATCTGCACTTGCAAATTCCAAAAACAGAGTGTTTCAACTCTGCTCTCTCTAAAGAAAGGTTCAACTCTGTGAGTTGAATACACACAACACAAAGAAGTTACTGAGAATTCTTCTGTCTAGCGTTGTATGAAGAAATCCCGTTTCCAACGAAGGCCTCAAAGAGGTCCAAATATCCACTTGCAGACTTTACAAATAGAGTGTTTCCAAACTGCTCTATGAAAAGAAAAGTTAAACTCTGTGAGTTGAAGGCACACATCACAAACTAGTTTCTACGAATGACTCTGTGTACTTTTAATATGAAGATTTTTCCATGTCTAAGATTGGCGTCAAATCGCTTGAAATCTCCACTTGCAAATTCCACAAAAAGTGTTTTTCAAAACTGCTCTGAATAAAGGAAGGTTCCACTCTGTGAGTTGAATACACACAACACAAAGGATTTACTGAGAATTCTTCTGTCTAGCAGTAAATGAGAAATCCCGCTTCCAACGAAGGCCTCAAAGGGGTCTAACTAATCACTTGCAGACTTTACAGACAGAGTCTTTCCAAACTGCTCTATGAAGAGAAAGGTGAAACTCTGTGAACTTAACGCACAGATAACAAAGCAGTTTCTGAGAATGATTCTGTGTAGTTTTGACACGAAGATATTTCCATTTCAAAGATTAGCCTCAAATCGCTTGAAATCTCCACTTGCAAATTCCACAGAAAGAATTTTTCAAAACTGCTCTGTCTAAAAGAAGGTTCAACTCTGTGACTTGAATACACACAACACAAAGAAGTGACTGAGAATTCTTCTGTCTAGCATTATATGAAGAAATCCCGTTTCCAACGAAGGCCTCAATGAAGTCCAAAAAAGCACTTGCAGGCTTTACAAACAGAGTGTTTCCAAACTGCTCTATGAAAAGAAAGGTTAAACTCTGTGAGTTGAACGCACACATCACAAAGTAGTTGTTGAGAATGATTCTGTGTAGTTTTTATACGAAGATATTTCCTTTTCTGCCATAGGCCTAGAAGCGCTTGAAATCTGCACTTGCAAATTCCAAAAACAGAGTGTTTCAACTCTGCTCTCTCTAAAGAAAGGTTCAACTCTGTGAGTTGAATACACACAACACAAAGAAGTTACTGAGAATTCTTCTGTCTAGCGTTGTATGAAGAAATCCCGTTTCCAACGAAGGCCTCAAAGAGGTCCCAAATATCCACTTGCAGACTTTACAAATAGAGTGTTTCCAAACTGCTCTATGAAAAGAAAGGTTAAACTCTGTGAGTTGAAGGCACACATCACAAACTAGTTTCTACGAATGACTCTGTGTACTTTTAATATGAAGATATTTCCATGTCTAAGATTGGCGTCAAATCGCTTGAAATCTCCACTTGCAAATTCCACAAAAAGAGTGTTTCAAAACTGCTCTGAATAAAGGAAGGTTCCACTCTGTGAGTTGAATACACACAACACAAAGGATTTACTGAGAATTCTTCTGTCTAGCAGTAAATGAGAAATCCCGCTTCCAACGAAGGCCTCAAAGGGGTCTAACTAATCACTTGCAGACTTTACAGACAGAGTCTTTCCAAACTGCTCTATGAAGAGAAAGGTGAAACTCTGTGAACTGAACGCACAGATGACAAAGCAGTTTCTGAGAATGATTCTGTGTAGTTTTTACACGAAGATATTTCCATTTCAAAGATTAGCCTCAAATCGCTTGAAATCTCCACTTGCAAATTACACAGAAAGAATTTTTCAAAACTGCTCTGTCTAAAGGAAGGTTCAACTCTGTGACTTGAATACACACAACACAAAGAAGTGACTGAGAATTCTTCTGTCTAGCATTATATGAAGAAATCCCGTTTCCAACGAAGGCCTCAATGAAGTCCAAAAAAGCACTTGCAGGCTTTACAAACAGAGTGTTTCCAAACTGCTCTATGAAAAGAAAGGTTAAACTCTGTGAGTTGAACGCACACATCACAAAGTAGTTGTTGAGAATGATTCTGTGTAGTTTTTATACGAAGATATTTCCTTTTCTGCCATAGGCCTAGAAGCGCTTGAAATCTGCACTTGCAAATTCCAAAAACAGAGTGTTTCAAATCTGCTCTCTCTAAAGGAAGGTTCAAATCTGTGTGTTGAATACAAACAACACAAAGAAGTTACTCAGAATTCTTCTGTCTAGCATTATATGAGGAAATCCCGTTTCCAACGAAGGGCTCAAAGAGGGCCAAATATCCACCTGCAGACTTACAAAGAGTGTATTTCCAAACTGCTCGATTAAAGAAAGGTTAAACTCTGTGAGTTGAACACACACATCACAAAGAGTTTTCTGAGAATGATTTTGTCTACTTTTAATACGAAGATATATCCTTTTCTATCACTGTCTTCGAAGCGTTTGAAATCTACACTAGCAAATTCCACAAAAAGAGTGTTTCACCTCTGCTCCCTCTAAAGAAAGGTTCAACTCTGTGAGTTGAATACACACAACACAAAGAAGTTACTGAGAATTCTTCTGTCTAGCGTTATATGAAGAAATCCCGTTTCCAACGAAGGCCTCAAAGAGGTCCAAATATCCACTTGCAGACTTTACAAATAGAGTGTTTCCCAACTGCTCTATGAAAAGAAAGGTTAAACTCTGTGAGTTGAAGGCACACATCACAAACTAGTTTCTACGAATGACTCTGTGTACTTTTAATATGAAGATATTTCCATGTCTAAGATTGGCGTCAAATCGCTTGAAATCTCCACTTGCAAATTCCACAAAAAGAGTGTTTCAAAACTGCTCTGAATAAAGGAAGGTTCCACTCTGTGAGTTGAATACACACAACACAAAGGATTTACTGAGAATTCTTCTGTCTAGCAGTAAATGAGAAATCCCGCTTCCAACGAAGGCCTCAAAGGGGTCTAACTAATCACTTGCAGACTTTACAGACAGAGTCTTTCCAAACTGCTCTATGAAGAGAAAGGTGAAACTCTGTGAACTGAACGCACAGATGACAAAGCAGTTTCTGAGAATGATTCTGTGTAGTTTTTACACGAAGATATTTCCATTTCAAAGATTAGCCTCAAATCGCTTGAAATCTCCACTTGCAAATTACACAGAAAGAACTTTTCAAAACTGCTCTGTCTAAAGGAAGGTTCAACTCTGTGACTTGAATACACACAACACAAAGAAGTGACTGAGAATTCTTCTGTCTAGCATTATAAGAGGAAATCCCGTTTCCAACGAAGGGCTCCTAGAGGGACAATTATCCAGCTGCAGACTTACAAAGAGTGTATTTCCAAACTGCTCGATTAAAGAAAGGTTAAACTCTGTGAGTTGAACACACACATCACAAAGTGTTTTCTGAGAATGATTTTGTCTAGTTTAAATACGAAGATATATCCTTTTCTATCACTGTCTTCGAAGCGTTTGAAATCGGCACTAGCAAATTCCACAAACAGAGTGTTTCAACTCTGCTCTCTCTCAAGAAAGGTTCAACTCTGTGAGTGGAATACACACAACACAAAGAAGTTACTGAGAATTCTTCTGTCTAGCGTTATATGAAGAAATCCCGTTTCCAACGAAGGCCTCAAAGAGGTCCAAATATCCACTTGCAGACTTTACAAATAGAGTGTTTCCAAACTGCTCTATGAAAAGAAAGGTTAAACTCTGTGAGTTGAAGGCACACATCACAAACTAGTTTCTGCGAATGACTCTGTGTACTTTTAATACGAAGATGTTTCCATGTCTAAGATTGGCGTGAATTCGCTTGAAATCTCCACTTGCAAATTCCACCAAAAGAGTGTTTCAAAACTGCTCTGAATAAAGGAAGGTTCCACTCTGTGAGTTGAGTACACACAACACAAAGGATTTACTGAGAATTCTTCTGTCTGGCAGTAAATGAAAAAATCCCGCTTCCAACGAAGTCCTCAAAGGGGTCCAAGTAATCACTTGCAGACTTTACAGACAGAGTCTTTCCAAACTGCTCTATGAAAAGAAAGGTGGAACTCTGTGAGCTGAACGCACACATAACAAAGCAGTTTCTGAGAATGATTCTGTGTAGTTTTTACACGAAGATATTTCCATTTCAAAGATTAGCCTCAAATCGCTTGAAATCTCCACTTGCAAATTCCACAGAAAGAGTTTTTCAAAACTGCTCTGTGTAAAGGAAGGTTCAACTCTGTGACTTGAATCCACACAACACAAAGAAGTGACTGAGAATTCTTCTGTCTAGCATTATATGAAGAAATCCCGTTTCCAACGAAGGCCTCAAAGAAGTCCAAATAAGCACCTGCAGACTTTACAAACAGAGTGTTTCCAAACTGCTCTATGAAAAGAAAGGTTAAACTCTGTGAGCTGAACGCACACATCACAAAGTAGTTGTTGAGAATGATTCTGTGTAGTTTTTATACGAAGATATTTCCTTTTCTGCCATAGGCCTAGAAGCGCTTGCAATCTGCACTTGCAAATTCCAAAAACAGAGTGTTTCAAATCTGCTCTCTCCAAAGGAAGGTTCAAATCTGTGAGTTGAATACAAACAACACAAAGAAGTTACTGAGAATTCTTCTGTCTAGCATTATATGAGGAAATCCCGTTTCCAACGAAGGGCTCATAGAGGGACAATTATCCAGCTGCAGACTTACAAAGAGTGTATTTCCAAACTGCTCGATTAAAGAAAGGTTAAACTCTGTGAGTTGAACACACACATCACAAAGTGTTTTCTGAGAATGATTTTGTCTAGTTTTAATACGAAGATATATCCTTTTCTATCACTGTCTTCGAAGCGTTTGAAATCTGCACTAGCAAATTCCACAGAAAGAGTGTTTCAACTCTGCTCTCTCTCAAGAAAGGTTCAAATCTGTGACTTGAATACACACAACACAAAGAAGTGACTGAGAATTCTTCTGTCTAGCGTTATATGAAGAAATCCCGTTTCCAACGAAGGCCTCAAAGAGGTCCAAATATCCACTTGCAGACTTTACAAATAGAGTGTTTCCAAACTGCTCTATGAAAAGAAAGGTTAAACTCTGTGAGTTGAAGGCACACATCACAAACTAGTTTCTGCGAATGACTCTGTGTACTTTTAATACGAAGATGTTTCCGTGTCTAAGATTGGCGTGAATTCGCTTGAAATCTCCACTTGCAAATTCCACAAAAAGAGTGTTTCAAAACTGCTCTGAATAAAGGAAGGTTCCACTCTGTGAGTTGAATACACACAACACAAAGGATTTACTGAGAATTCTTCTGTCTAGCAGTAAATGAGAAATCCCGCTTCCAACGAAGTCCTCAAAGGGGTCTAACTAATCACTTGCAGACTTTACAGACAGAGTCTTTCCAAACTGCTCTATGAAGAGAAAGGTGAAACTCTGTGAACTGAACGCACAGATGACAAAGCAGTTTCTGAGAATGATTCTGTGTAGTTTTTACACGAAGAATATTTCCATTTCAAAGATTAGCCTCAAATCTCTTAAAATCTCCAATTGCAAATTCCACAGAAAGAATTTTTCAAAACTGCTCTGTCTAAAAGAAGGTTCAACTCTGTGACTTGAATACACACAACACAAAGAAGTGACTGAGAATTCTTCTGTCTAGCATTATATGAAGAAATCCCGTTTCCAACGAAGGCCTCAATGAAGTCCAAAAAAGCACTTGCAGGCTTTGCAAACAGCGTGTTTCCAAACTGCTCTATGAAAAGAAAGGTTAAACTTTGTGAGTTGAACGCACACATCACAAAGTAGTTGTTGAGAATGATTCTGTGTAGTTTTTATACGAAGATATTTCCTTTCCTGCCATAGGCCTAGAATCGCTTGAAATCTGCACTTGCAAATTCCAAAAACAGAGTGTTTCAACTCTGCTCTCTCTAAAGAAAGGTTCAACTCTGTGAGTTGAATACACACAACACAAAGAAGTTACTGAGAATTCTTCTGTCTAGCGTTGTATGAAGAAATCCCGTTTCCAACGAAGGCCTCAAAGAGGTCCAAATATCCACTTGCAGACTTTACAAATAGAGTGTTTCCCAACTGCTCTATGAAAAGAAAGGTTAAACTCTGTGAGTTGAAGGCACACATCACAAACTAGTTTCTACGAATGACTCTGTGTACTTTTAATATGAAGATATTTCCATGTCTAAGATTGGCGTCAAATCGCTTGAAATCTCCACTTGCAAATTCCACAAAAAGTGTTTTTCAAAACTGCTCTGAATAAAGGAAGGTTCCACTCTGTGAGTTGAATACACACAACACAAAGGATTTACTGAGAATTCTTCTGTCTAGCAGTAAATGAGAAATCCCGCTTCCAACGAAGGCCTCAAAGGGGTCTAACTAATCACTTGCAGACTTTACAGACAGAGTCTTTCCAAACTGCTCTATGAAGAGAAAGGTGAAACTCTGTGAACTGAACGCACAGATGACAAAGCAGTTTCTGAGAATGATTCTGTGTAGTTTTTACACGAAGATATTTCCATTTCAAAGATTAGCCTCAAATCGCTTGAAATCTCCACTTGCAAACTCCACAGAAAGAATTTTTCAAAACTGCTCTGTCTAAAGGAAGGTTCAACTCTGTGACTTGAATACACACAACACAAAGAAGTGACTGAGAATTCTTCTGTCTAGCATTATATGAAGAAATCCCGTTTCCAACGAAGGCCTCAAAGAAGTCCAAATAAGCACCTGCAAACTTTACAAACAGAGTGTTTCCAAACTGCTCTATGAAAAGAAAGGTTAAACTCTGTGAGTTGTACGCACACATCACAAAGTAGTTGTTGAGAATGATTCTGTGTAGTTTTTATACGAAGATATTTCCTTTTCTGCCATAGGCCTAGAAGCGCTTGTAATCTGCACTTGCAAATTCCAAAAACAGAGTGTTTCAAATCTGCTCTCTCTAAAGGAAGGTTCAAATCTGTGAGTTGAATACAAACAACACAAAGAAGTTACTGAGAATTCTTCTGTCTAGCATTATAAGAGGAAATCCCGTTTCCAACGAAGGGCTCATAGAGGGACAATTATCCAGCTGCAGACTTACAAAGAGTGTATTTCCAAACTGCTCGATTAAAGAAAGGTTAAACTCTGTGAGTTGAACACACACATCACAAAGTGTTTTCTGAGAATGATTTTGTCTAGTTTTAATACGAAGATATATCCTTTTCTATCACTGTCTTCGAAGCGTTTGAAATCTGCACTAGCAAATTCCACAGAAAGAGTGTTTCAACTCTGCTCTCTCTCAAGAAAGGTTCAACTCTGTGAGTGGAATACACACAACACAAAGAAGTTACTGAGAATTCTTCTGTCTAGCGTTATATGAAGAAATCCCGTTTCCAACGAAGGCCTCAAAGAGGTCCAAATATCCACTTGCAGACTTTACAAAGAGAGTGTTTCCAAACTGCTCTATGAAAAGAAAGGTTAAACTCCGTGAGTTGAAGGCACGCATCACAAACTAGTTTCTGCGAATGACTCTGTGTACTTTTAATACGAAGATGTTTCCATGTCTAAGATTGGCGTGAATTCGCTTGAAATCTCCACTTGCAATTTCCACAAAAAGAGTGTTTCAAAACTGCTCTGAATAAAGGAAGGTTCCACTCTGTGAGTTGAATACACACAACACAAAGGATTTACTGAGAATTCTTCTGTCTAGCAGTAAATGAAAAAATCCCGCTTCCAACGAAGTCCTCAAAGGGGTCCAAGTAATCACTTGCAGACTTTACAGACAGAGTCTTTCCAAACTGTTCTATGAAAAGAAAGGTGGAACTCTGTGAGCTGAACGCACACATAACAAAGCAGTTTCTGAGAATGATTCTGTGTAGTTTTTACACGAAGCTATTTCCATTTCAAAGATTAGCCTCAAATCGCTTGAAATCTCCACTTGCAAATTCCACAGAAAGAGTTTTTCAAAACTGCTCTGTGTAAAGGAAGGTTCAACTCTGTGACTTGAATACACACAACACAAAGAAGTGACTGAGAATTCTTCTGTCTAGCATTATATGAAGAAATCCCGTTTCCAACGAAGGCCTCAAAGAAGTCCAAATAAGCACCTGCAGACTTTACAAACAGAGTGTTTCCAAACTGCTCTATGAAAAGAAAGGTTAAACTCTGTGAGTTGAACGCACACATCACAAAGTAGTTGTTGAGAATGATTCTGTGTAGTTTTTATACGAAGATATTTCCTTTTCTGCCATAGGCCTAGAAGCGCTTGTAATCTGCACTTGCAAATTCCAAAAAGAGAGTGTTTCAAATCTGCTCTCTCTAAAGGAAGGTTCAAATCTGTGAGTTGAATACAAACAACACAAAGAAGTTACTGAGAATTCTTCTGTCTAGCATTATAAGAGGAAATCCCGTTTCCAACGAAGGGCTCATAGAGGGACAATTATCCAGCTGCAGACTTACAAAGAGTGTATTTCCAAACTGCTCGATTAAAGAAAGGTTAAACTCTGTGAGTTGAACACACACATCACAAAGTGTTTTCTGAGAATGATTTTGTCTAGTTTTAATACGAAGATATATCCTTTTCTATCACTGTCTTCGAAGCGTTTGAAATCTGCACTAGCAAATTCCACAAACAGAGTGTTTCAACTCTGCTCTCTCTCAAGAAAGGTTCAACTCTGTGAGTGGAATACACACAACACAAAGAAGTTACTGAGAATTCTTCTGTCTAGCTTTATATGAAGAAATCCCGTTTCCAACGAAGGCCTCAAAGAGGTCCAAATATCCACTTGCAGACTTTACAAATAGAGTGTTTCCAAACTGCTCTATGAAAAGAAAGGTTAAACTCCGTGAGTTGAAGGCACACATCACAAACTAGTTTCTGCGAATGACCTGTGTACTTTTAATACGAAGATGTTTCCATGTCTAAGATTGGCGTGAATTCGCTTGAAATCTCCACTTGCAAATTCCACAAAAAGAGTGTTTCAAAAGTGCTCTGAATAAAGGAAGGTTCCACTCTGTGAGTTGAATACACACAACACAAAGGATTTACTGAGAATTCTTCTGTCTAGCAGTAAATGAAAAAATCCCGCTTCCAACGAAGTCCTCAAAGGGGTCCAAGTAATCACTTGCAGACTTTACAGACAGAGTCTTTCCAAACTGCTCTATGAAAAGAAAGGTGGAACTCTGTGAGCTGAACGCACACATAACAAAGCAGTTTCTGAGAATGATTCTGTGTGGTTTTTACACGAAGCTATTTCCATTTCAAAGATTAGCCTCAAATCGCTTGAAATCTCCACTTGCAAATTCCACAGAAAGAGTTTTTCAAAACTGCTCTGTGTAAAGGAAGGTTCAACTCTGTGACTTGAATACACACAACACAAAGAAGTGACTGAGAATTCTTCTGTCTAGCATTACATGAAGAAATCCCGTTTCCAACGAAGGCCTCAAAGAAGTCCAAATAAGCACCTGCAGACTTTACAAACAGAGTGTTTCCAAACTGCTCTATGAAAAGAAAGGTTAAACTCTGTGAGTTGAACGCACACATCACAAAGTAGTTGTTGAGAATGATTCTGTGTAGTTTTTATACGAAGATATTTCCTTTTCTGCCATAGGCCTAGAAGCGCTTGTAATCTGCACTTGCAAATTCCAAAAACAGAGTGTTTCAAATCTGCTCTCTCTAAAGGAAGGTTCAAATCTGTGAGTTGAATACAAACAACACAAAGAAGTTACTGAGAATTCTTCTGTCTAGCATTATAAGAGGAAATCCCGTTTCCAACGAAGGGCTCATAGAGGGACAATTATCCAGCTGCAGACTTACAAAGAGTGTATTTCCAAACTGCTCGATTAAAGAAGGGTTAAACTCTGTGAGTTGAACACACACATCACAAAGTGTTTTCTGAGAATGATTCTGTGTAGTTTTTATACGAAGATATTTCCTTTTCTGCCATAGGCCTAGAAGCGCTTGTAATCTGCACTTGCAAATTCCAAAAACAGAGTGTTTCAAATCTGCTCTCTCTAAAGGAAGGTTCAAATCTGTGAGTTGAATACAAACAACACAAAGTAGTTACTGAGAATTCTTCTGTCTAGCATTATAAGAGGAAATCCCGTTTCCAACGAAGGGCTCATAGAGGGACAATTATCCAGCTGCAGACTTACAAAGAGTGTATTTCCAAACTGCTCGATTAAAGAAAGGTTAAACTCTGTGAGTTGAACACACACATCACAAAGTGTTTTCTGAGAATGATTTTGTCTAGTTTTAATACGAAGATATATCCTTTTCTATCACTGTCTTCGAAGCGTTTGAAATCTGCACTAGCAAATTCCACAAACAGAGTGTTTCAACTCTGCTCTCTCTCAAGAAAGGTTCAACTCTGTGAGTGGAATACACACAACACAAAGAAGTTACTGAGAATTCTTCTGTCTAGCGTTATATGAAGAAATCCCGTTTCCAACGAAGGCCTCAAAGACGTCCAAATATCCACTTGCAGACTTTACAAATAGAGTGTTTCCAAACTGCTCTATGAAAAGAAAGGTTAAACTCTGTGAGTTGAAGGCACACATCACAAACTAGTTTCTGCGAATGACTCTGTGTACTTTTAATACGAAGATGTTTCCATGTCTAAGATTGGCGTGAATTCGCTTGAAATCTCCACTTGCAAATTCCACAAAAAGAGTGTTTCAAAACTGCTCTGAATAAAGGAAGGTTCCACTCTGTGAGTTGAATACACACAACACAAAGGATTTACTGAGAATTCTTCTGTCTAGCGTTGTATGAAGAAATCCCGTTTCCAACGAAGGCCTCAAACAGGTCCAAATATCCACTTGCAGACTTTACAAATAGAGTGTTTCCAAACTGCTCTATGAAAAGAAAGGTTAAACTCTGTGAGTTGAAGGCACACATCACAAACTAGTTTCTACGAATGACTTCTGTGTACTTTTAATATGAAGATATTTCCATGTCTAAGATTGGCGTCAAATCGCTTGAAATCTCCACTTGCAAATTCCACAAAAACTGTTTTTCAAAAGTGCTCTGAATAAAGGAAGGTTCCACTCTGTGAGTTGAATACACACAACACAAAGGATTTACTGAGAATTCTTCTGTCTAGCATTATATGAAGAAATCCCGTTTCCAACGAAGGCCTCAATGAAGTCCAAAAAAGCACTTGCAGGCTTTACAAACAGAGTGTTTCATAACTGCACTATGAAAAGAAAGGTTAAACTCTGTGAATTGAACGCACACATCACAAAGTAGTTGTTGAGAATGATTTCTGTGTAGTTTTTATACGAAGAATATTTCCTTTTCTGCCATAGGCCTAGAAGCGCTTGTAATCTCCACTTGCAAATTCCAAAAACAGAGTGTTTCAAATCTGCTCTCTCTAAAGGAAGGTTCAAATCTGTGAGTTGAATACAAACAACACAAAGAAGTTACTGAGAATTCTTCTGTCTAGCGTTATATGAAGAAATCCCGTTTCCAACGAAGGCCTCAAAGAGGTCCAAATATCCACTTGCAGACTTTACAAATAGAGTGTTTCCAAACTGCTCTATGAAAAGAAAGGTTAAACTCCGTGAGTTGAAGGCACACATCACAAACTAGTTTCTGCGAATGACTCTGTGTACTTTTAATACGAAGATGTTTCCATGTCTAAGATTGGCGTGAATTCGCTTGAAATCTCCACTTGCAAATTCCACAAAAAGAGTGTTTCAAAACTGCTCTGAATAAAGGAAGGTTCCACTCTGTGAGTTGAATACACACAACACAAAGGATTTACTGAGAATTCTTCTGTCTAGCAGTAAATGAAAAAATCCCGCTTCCAACGAAGTCCTCAAAGGGGTCCAAGTAATCACTTGCAGACTTTACAGACAGAGTCTTTCCAAACTGCTCTATGAAAAGAAAGATGGAACTCTGTGAGCTGAACGCACACATAACAAAGAAGTTTCTGAGAATGATTCTGTGTAGTTTTTACACGAAGCTATTTCCATTTCAAAGATTAGCCTCAAATCGCTTGAAATCTCCACTTGCAAATTCCACAGAAAGAGTTTTTCAAAACTGCTCTGTGTAAAGGAAGGTTCAACTCTGTGACTTGAATACACACAACACAAAGAAGTGACTGAGAATTCTTCTGTCTAGCATTATATGAAGAAATCCCGTTTCCAACGAAGGCCTCAAAGAAGTCCAAATAAGCACCTGCAGACTTTACAAACAGAGTGTTTCCAAACTGCTCTATGAAAAGAAAGGTTAAACTCTGTGAGTTGAACGCACACATCACAAACTAGTTTCTGCGAATGACTCTGTGTACTTTTAATACGAAGATGTTTCCATGTCTAAGATTGGCGTGAATTCGCTTGAAATCTCCACTTGCAAATTCCACAAAAAGAGTGTTTCAAAACTGCTCTGAATAAAGGAAGGTTCCACTCTGTGAGTTGAATACACACAACACAAAGGATTTACTGAGAATTCTTCTGTCTAGCAGTAAATGAAAAAATCCCGCTTCCAACGAAGTCCTCAAAGGGGTCCAAGTAATCACTTGCAGACTTTACAGACAGAGTCTTTCCAAACTGCTCTATGAAAAGAAAGGTGGAACTCTGTGAGCTGAACGCACACATAACAAAGCAGTTTCTGAGAATGATTCTGTGTAGTTTTTACACGAAGCTATTTCCATTTCAAAGATTAGCCTCAAATCGCTTGAAATCTCCACTTGCAAATTCCACAGAAAGAGTTTTTCAAAACTGCTCTGTGTAAAGGAAGGTTCAACTCTGTGACTTGAATACACACAACACAAAGAAGTGACAGAGAATTCTTCTGTCTAGCATTATAAGAGGAAATCCCGTTTCCAACGAAGGGCTCATAGAGGGACAATTATCCAGCTGCAGACTTACAAAGAGTGTATTTCCAAACTGCTCGATTAAAGAAAGGTTAAACTACTGTGAGTTGAACACACACATCACAAAGTGTTTTCTGAGAATGATTTTGTCTAGTTTTAATACGAAGATATATCCTTTTCTATCACTGTCTTCGAAGTGTTTGAAATCTGCACTAGCAAATTCCACAAACAGAGTGTTTCAACTCTGCTCTCTCTCAAGAAAGGTTCAACTCTGTGAGTGGAATACACACAACACAAAGAAGTTACTGAGAATTCTTCTGTCTAGCGTTATATGAAGAAATCCCGTTTCCAACGAAGGCCTCAAAGAGGTCCAAATATCCACTTGCAGACTTTACAAATAGAGTGTTTCCAAACTGCTCTATGAAAAGAAAGGTTAAACTCCGTGAGTTGAAGGCACACATCACAAACTAGTTTCTGCGAATGACTCTGTGTACTTTTAATACGAAGATGTTTCCATGTCTAAGATTGGCGTGAATTCGCTTGAAATCTCCACTTGCAAATTCCACAAAAAGAGTGTTTCAAAACTGCTCTGAATAAAGGAAGGTTCCACTCTGTGAGTTGAATACACACAACACAAAGGATTTACTGAGAATTCTTCTGTCTAGCAGTAAATGAAAAAATCCCGCTTCCAACGAAGTCCTCAAAGGGGTCCAAGTAATCACTTGCAGACTTTACAGACAGAGTCTTTCCAAACTGCTCTATGAAAAGAAAGGTGGAACTCTGTGAGCTGAACGCACACATAACAAAGCAGTTTCTGAGAATGATTCTGTGTAGATTTTACACGAAGATATTTCCATTTCAAAGATTAGCCTCAAATCGCTTGAAATCTCCACTTGCAAATTCCACAGAAAGAGGTTTTCAAAACTGCTCTGTGTAAAGGAAGGTTCAACTCTGTGACTTGAATACACACAACACAAAGAAGTGACTGAGAATTCTTCTGTCTAGCATTATATGAAGAAATCCCGTTTCCAACGAAGGCCTCAAAGAAGTCCAAATAAGCACCTGCAGACTTTACAAACAGAGTGTTTCCAAACTGCTCTATGAAAAGAAAGGTTAAACTCTGTGAGCTGAACGCACACATCACAAAGTAGTTGTTGAGAATGATTCTGTGTAGTTTTTATACGAAGATATTTCCTTTTCTGCCATAGGCCTAGAAGCGCTTGCAATCTGCACTTGCAAATTCCAAAAACAGAGTGTTTCAAATCTGCTCTCTCCAAAGGAAGGTTCAAATCTGTGAGTTGAATACAAACAACACAAAGAAGTTACTGAGAATTCTTCTGTCTAGCATTATAAGAGGAAATCCCGTTTCCAACGAAGGGCTCATAGAGGGACAATTATCCAGCTGCAGACTTACAAAGAGTGTAGTTCCAAACTGCTCGATTAAAGAAAGGTTAAACTCTGTGAGTTGAACACACACATCACAAAGTGTTTTCTGAGAATGATTTTGTCTAGTTTTAATACGAAGATATATCCTTTTCTATCACTGTCTTCGAAGCGTTTGAAATCGGCACTAGCAAATTCCACAAAAAGAGTGTTTCAACTCTGCTCTCTCTCAAGAAAGGTTCAACTCTGTGAGTGGAATACACACAACACAAAGAAGTTACTGAGAATTCTTCTGTCTAGCGTTATATGAAGAAATCCCGTTTCCAACGAAGGCCTCAAAGAGGTCCAAATATCCACTTGCAGACTTTACAAATAGAGTGTTTCCAAACTGCTCTATGAAAAGAAAGGTTAAACTCTGTGAGTTGAAGGCACACATCACAAACTAGTTTCTGCGAATGACTCTGTGTACTTTTAATACGAAGATGTTTCCATGTCTAAGATTGGCGTGAATTCGCTTGAAATCTCCACTTGCAAATTCCACAAAAAGAGTGTTTCAAAACTGCTCTGAATAAAGGAAGGTTCCACTCTGTGAGTTGAATACACACAACACAAAGGATTTACTGAGAATTCTTCTGTCTAGCAGTAAATGAAAAAATCCCGCTTCCAACGAAGTCCTCAAAGGGGTCCAAGTAATCACTTGCAGACTTTACAGACAGAGTCTTTCCAAACTGCTCTATGAAAAGAAAGGTGGAACTCTGTGAGCTGAACGCACACATAACAAAGCAGTTTCTGAGAATGATTCTGTGTAGTTTTTACACGAAGCTATTTCCATTTCAAAGATTAGCCTCAAATCGCTTGAAATCTCCACTTGCAAATTCCACAGAAAGAGTTTTTCAAAACTGCTCTGTGTAAAGGAAGGTTCAACTCTGTGACTTGAATACACACAACACAAAGAAGTGACTGAGAATTCTTCTGTCTAGCATTATATGAAGAAATCCCGTTTCCAACGAAGGCCTCAAAGTAAGTCCAAATAAGCACCTGCAGACTTTACAAACAGAGTGTTTCCAAACTGCTCTATGAAAAGAAAGGTTAAACTCTGTGAGTTGAACGCACACATCACAAAGTAGTTGTTGAGAATGATTCTGTGTAGTTTTTATACGAAGATATTTCCTTTTCTGCCATAGGCCTAGAAGCGCTTGCAATCTGCACTTGCAAATTCCAAAAACAGAGTGTTTCAAATCTGCTCTCTCCAAAGGAAGGTTCAAATCTGTGAGTTGAATACAAACAATACAAAGAAGTTACTGAGAATTCTTCTGTCTAGCATTATAAGAGGAAATCCCGTTTCCAACGAAGGGCTCCTAGAGGGACAATTATCCAGCTGCAGACTTACAAAGAGTGTATTTCCAAACTGCTCGATTAAAGAAAGGTTAAACTCTGTGAGTTGAACACACACATCACAAAGTGTTTTCTGAGAATGATTTTGTCTAGTTTTAATACGAAGATATATCCTTTTCTATCACTGTCTTCGAAGCGTTTGAAATCTGCACTAGCAAATTCCACAGAAAGAGTGTTTCAACTCTGCTCTCTCTCAAGAAAGGTTCAACTCTGTGAGTGGAATACACACAACACAAAGAAGTTACTGAGAATTCTTCTGTCTAGCGTTATATGAAGAAATCCCGTTTCCAACGAAGGCCTCAAAGAGGTCCAAATATCCACTTGCAGACTTTACAAATAGAGTGTTTCCAAACTGCTCTATGAAAAGAAAGGTTAAACTCCGTGAGTTGAAGGCACACATCACAAACTAGTTTCTGCGAATGACTCTGTGTACTTTTAATACGAAGATGTTTCCATGTCTAAGATTGGCGTGAATTCGCTTGAAATCTCCACTTGCAAATTCCACCAAAAGAGTGTTTCAAAACTGCTCTGAATAAAGGAAGGTTCCACTCTGTGAGTTGAATACACACAACACAAAGGATTTACTGAGAATTCTTCTGTCTAGCAGTAAATGAAAAAATCCCGCTTCCAACGAAGTCCTCAAAGGGGTCCAAGTAATCACTTGCAGACTTTACAGACGGAGTCTTTCCAAACTGCTCTATGAAAAGAAAGGTGGAACTCTGTGAGCTGAACGCACACATAACAAAGCAGTTTCTGAGAATGATTCTGTGTAGTTTTTGCACGAAGCTATTTCCATTTCAAAGATTAGCCTCAAATCGCTTGAAATCTCCACTTGCAAATTCCACAGAAAGAGTTTCTCAAAACTGCTCTGTGTAAAGGAAGGTTCAACTCTGTGACTTGAATACACACAACACAAAGAAGTGACTGAGAATTCTTCTGTCTAGCATTATATGAAGAAATCCCGTTTCCAACGAAGGCCTCAAAGAAGTCCAAATAAGCACCTGCAGACTTTACAAACAGAGTGTTTCCAAACTGCTCTATGAAAAGAAAGGTTAAACTCTGTGAGTTGAACGCACACATCACAAAGTAGTTGTTGAGAATGATTCTGTGTAGTTTTTATACGAAGATATTTCCTTTTCTGCCATAGGCCTAGAAGCGCTTGTAATCTGCACTTGCAAATTCCAAAAACAGAGTGTTTCAAATCTGCTCTCTCTAAAGGAAGGTTCAAATCTGTGAGTTGAATACAAACAACACAAAGAAGTTACTGAGAATTCTTCTGTCTAGCATTATAAGAGGAAATCCCGTTTCCAACGAAGGGCTCATAGAGGGACAATTATCCAGCTGCAGACTTACAAAGAGTGTATTTCCAAACTGCTCGATTAAAGAAAGGTTAAACTCTGTGAGTTGAACGCACACATCACAAAGTGTTTTCTGAGAATGATTTTGTCTAGTTTTAATACGAAGATATATCCTTTTCTATCACTGTCTTCGAAGCGTTTGAAATCTGCACTAGCAAATTCCACAAACAGAGTGTTTCAACTCTGCTCTCTCTCAAGAAAGGTTCAACTCTGTGAGTGGAATACACACAACACAAAGAAGTTACTGAGAATTCTTCTGTCTAGCAGTTATATGAAGAAATCCCGTTTCCAACGAAGGCCTCAAAGAGGTCCAAATATCCACTTGCAGACTTTACAAATAGAGTGTTTCCAAACTGCTCTATGAAAAGAAAGGTTAAACTCTGTGAGTTGAAGGCACACATCACAAACTAGTTTCTGCGAATGACTCTGTGTACTTTTAATACGAAGATGTTTCCATGTCTAAGATTGGCGTGAATTCGCTTGAAATCTCCACTTGCAAATTCCACAAAAAGAGTGTTTCAAAACTGCTCTGAATAAAGGAAGGTTCCACTCTGTGAGTTGAATACACACAACACAAAGGATTTACTGAGAATTCTTCTGTCTAGCAGTAAATGAAAAAATCCCGCTTCCAACGAAGTCCTCAAAGGGGTCCAAGTAATCACTTGCAGACTTTACAGACAGAGTCTTTCCAAACTGCTCTATGAAAAGAAAGGTGGAACTCTGTGAGCTGAACGCACACATAACAAAGCAGTTTCTGAGAATGATTCTGTGTAGTTTTTACAAGAAGATATTTCCATTTCAAAGATTAGCCTCAAATCGCTTGAAATCTCCACTTGCAAATTCCACAGAAAGAGTTTTTCAAAACTGCTCTGTGTAAAGGAAGGTTCAACTCTGTGACTTGAATACACACAACACAAAGAAGTGACTGAGAATTCTTCTGTCTAGCATTATATGAAGAAATCCCGTTTCCAACGAAGGCCTCAAAGAAGTCCAAATAAGCACCTGCAGACTTTACAAACAGAGTGTTTCCAAACTGCTCTATGAAAAGAAAGGTTAAACTCTGTGAGTTGAACGCAAACATCACAAAGTAGTTGTTGAGAATGATTCTGTGTAGTTTTTATACGAAGATATTTCCTTTTCTGCCATAGGCCTAGAAGCGCTTGCAATCTGCACTTGCAAATTCCAAAAACAGAGTGTTTCAAATCTGCTCTCTCCAAAGGAAGGTTCAAATCTGTGAGTTGAATACAAACAACACAAAGAAGTTACTGAGAATTCTTCTGTCTAGCATTATAAGAGGAAATCCCGTTTCCAACGAAGGGCTCCTAGAGGGACAATTATCCAGCTGCAGACTTACAAAGAGTGTATTTCCAAACTGCTCGATTAAAGAAAGGTTAAACTCTGTGAGTTGAACACACACATCACAAAGTGTTTTCTGAGAATGATTTTGTCTAGTTTTAATACGAAGATATATCCTTTTCTATCACTGTCTTCGAAGCGTTTGAAATCTGCACTAGCAAATTCCACAAACAGAGTGTTTCAACTCTGCTCTCTCTCAAGAAAGGTTCAACTCTGTGAGTGGAATACACACAACACAAAGAAGTTACTGAGAATTCTTCTGTCTAGCGTTATATGAAGAAATCCCGTTTCCAACGAAGGCCTCAAAGAGGTCCAAATATCCACTTGCAGACTTTACAAATAGAGTGTTTCCAAACTGCTCTATGAAAAGAAAGGTTAAACTCTGTGAGTTGAAGGCACACATCACAAACTAGTTTCTGCGAATGACTCTGTGTACTTTTAATACGAAGATGTTTCCATGTCTAAGATTGGCGTGAATTCGCTTGAAATCTCCACTTGCAAATTCCACAAAAAGAGTGTTTCAAAACTGCTCTGAATAAAGGAAGGTTCCACTCTGTGAGTTGAATACACACAACACAAAGGATTTACTGATAATTCTTCTGTCTAGCAGTAAATGAAAAAATCCCGCTTCCAACGAAGTCCTCAAAGGGGTCCAAGTAATCACTTGCAGACTTTACAGACAGAGTCTTTCCAAACTGCTCTATGAAAAGAAAGGTGGAACTCTGTGAGCTGAACGCACACATAACAAAGCAGTTTCTGACAATGATTCTGTGTAGTTTTTACACGAAGATATTTCCATTTCAAAGATTAGCCTCAAATCGCTTGAAATCTCCACTTGCAAATTCCACAGAAAGAGTTTTTCAAAACTGCTCTGTGTAAAGGAAGGTTCAACTCTGTGACTTGAATACACACAACACAAAGAAGTGACTGAGAATTCTTCTGTCTAGCATTATATGAAGAAATCCCGTTTCCAACGAAGGCCTCAAAGAAGTCCAAATAAGCACCGGCAGACTTTACAAACAGAGTGTTTCCAAACTGCTCTATGAAAAGAAAGGTTAAACTCTGTGAGTTGAACGCACACATCACAAAGTAGTTGTTGAGAATGATTCTGTGTAGTTTTTATACGAAGATATTTCCTTTTCTGCCATAGGCCTAGAAGCGCTTGTAATCTGCACTTGCAAATTCCAAAACCAGAGTGTTTCAAATCTGCTCTCTCTAAAGGAAGGTTCAAATCTGTGAGTTGAATACAAACAACACAAAGAAGTTACTGAGAATTCTTCTGTCTAGCATTATATGAGGAAATCCCGTTTCCAACGAAGGGCTCATAGAGGGACAATTATCCAGCTGCAGACTTACAAAGAGTGTATTTCCAAACTGCTCGATTAAAGAAAGGTTAAACTCTGTGAGTTGAACACACACATCACAAAGTGTTTTCTGAGAATGATTTTGTCTAGTTTTAATACGAAGATATATCCTTTTCTATCACTGTCTTCGAAGCGTTTGAAATCTGCACTAGCAAATTCCACAAACAGAGTGTTTCAACTCTGCTCTCTCTCAAGAAAGGTTCAACTCTGTGAGTGGAATACACACAACACAAAGAAGTTACTGAGAATTCTTCTGTCTAGCATTATATGAAGAAATCCCGTTTCCAACGAAGGCCTCAAAGAGGTCCAAATATCCACTTGCAGACTTTACAAATAGAGTGTTTCCAAACTGCTCTATGAAAAGAAAGCTTAAACTCTGTGAGTTGAAGGCACACATCACAAACTAGTTTCTGCGAATGACTCTGTGTACTTTTAATACGAAGATGTTTCCATGTCTAAGATTGGCGTGAATTCGCTTGAAATCTCCACTTGCAAATTCCACAAAAAGAGTGTTTCAAAACTGCTCTGAATAAAGGAAGGTTCCACTCTGTGAGTTGAATACACACAACACAAAGGATTTACTGAGAATTCTTCTGTCTAGCAGTAAATGAGAAATCCCGCTTCCAACGAAGGCCTCAAAGGGGTCTAACTAATCACTTGCAGACTTACAGACAGAGTCTTTCCAAACTGCTCTATGAAGAGAAAGGTGAAACTCTGTGAACTGAACGCACAGATAACAAAGCAGTTTCTGAGAATGATTCTGTGTAGTTTTTACACGAAGATATTTCCATTTCAAAGATTAGCCTCAAATCGCTTGAAATCTCCACTTGCAAATTCCACAGAAAGAATTTTTCAAAACTGCTCTGCTAAAAGAAGGTTCAACTCTGTGACTTGAATACACACAATACAAAGAAGTGACTGAGAATTCTTCTGTCTAGCATTATATGAAGAAATCCCGTTTCCAACGAAGGCCTCAATGAAGTCCAAAAAAGCACTTGCAGGCTTTACAAACAGAGTGTTTCCAAACTGCTCTATGAAAAGAAAGGTTAAACTCTGTGAGTTGAACGCACACATCACAAAGTAGTTGTTGAGAATGATTCTGTGTAGTTTTTATACGAAGATATTTCCTTTTCTGCCATAGGCCTAGAATCGCTTGAAATCTGCACTTGCAAATTCCAAAAACAGAGTGTTTCAACTCTGCTCTCTCTAAAGAAAGGTTCAACTGCTGTGAGTTGAATACACACAACACAAAGAAGTTACTGAGAATTCTTCTGTCTAGCATTATATGAGGAAATCCCGTTTCCAACGAAGGGCTCAAAGAGGGCCAAATATCCACCTGCAGACTTACAAAGAGTGTATTTCCAAACTGCTCGATTAAAGAAAGGTTAAACTCTGTGAGTTGAACACACACATCACAAAGAGTTTTCTGAGAATGATTTTGTCTACTTTTAATACGAAGTATATATCCTTTTCTATCACTGTCTTCGAAGCGTTTGAAATCTACACTAGCAAATTCCACAAAAAGAGTGTTTCACCTCTGCTCCCTCTAAAGAAAGGTTCAACTCTGTGAGTTGAATACACACAACACAAAGAAGTTACTGAGAATTCTTCTGTCTAGCATTATATGAAGAAATCCCGTTTCCAACGAAGGCCTCAAAGAGGTCCAAATATCCACTTGCAGACTTTACAAATAGAGTGTTTCCAAACTGCTCTATGAAAAGAAAGGTTAAACTCTGTGAGTTGAAGGCACACATCACAAACTAGTTTCTACGAATGACTCTGTGTACTTTTAATATGAAGATATTTCCATGTCTAAGATTGGCGTCAAATCGCTTGAAATCTCCACTTGCAAATTCCACGAAAAGTGTTTTTCAAAACTGCTCTGAATAAAGGAAGGTTCCACTCTGTGAGTTGAATACACACAACACAAAGGATTTACTGAGAATTCTTCTGTCTAGCAGTAAATGAGAAATCCCGCTTCCAACGAAGGCCTCAAAGGGGTCTAACTAATCACTTGCAGACTTTACAGACAGAGTCTTTCCAAACTGCTCTATGAAGAGAAAGGTGAAACTCTGTGAACTGAACGCACAGATGACAAAGCAGTTTCTGAGAATGATTCTGTGTAGTTTTTACACGAAGATATTTCCATTTCAAAGATTAGCCTCAAATCGCTTGAAATCTCCACTTGCAAACTCCACAGAAAGAATTTTTCAAAACTGCTCTGTCTAAAGGAAGGTTCAACTCTGTGACTTGAATACACACAACACAAAGAAGTGACTGAGAATTCTTCTGTCTAGCATTATATGAAGAAATCCCGTTTCCAACGAAGGCCTCAATGAAGTCCAAAAAAGCACTTGCAGGCTTTACAAACAGAGTGTTTCCAAACTGCTCTATGAAAAGAAAGGTTAAACTCTGTGAGTTGAACGCACACATCACAAAGTAGTTGTTGAGAATGATTCTGTGTAGTTTTTATACGAAGATATTTCCTTTTCTGCCATAGGCCTAGAATCGCTTGAAATCTGCACTTGCAAATTCCAAAAACAGAGTGTTTCAACTCTGCTCTCTCTAAAGAAAGGTTCAACTCTGTGAGTTGAATACACACAACACAAAGAAGTTACTGAGAATTCTTCTGTCTAGCGTTGTATGAAGAAATCCCTTTTCCAACGAAGGCCTCAAAGAGGTCCAAATATCCACTTGCAGACTTTACAAATAGAGTGTTTCCAAACTGCTCTATGAAAAGAAAGCTTAAAATCTGTGAGTTGAAGGCACACATCACAAACTAGTTTCTACGAATGACTCTGTGTACTTTTAATATGAAGATATTTCCATGTCTAAGATTGGCGTCAAATCGCTTGAAATCTCCACTTGCAAATTCCACAAAAAGTGTTTTTCAAAACTGCTCTGAATAAAGGAAGGTTCCACTCTGTGAGTTGAATACACACAACACAAAGGATTTACTGAGAATTCTTCTGTCTAGCAGTAAATGAGAAATCCCGCTTCCAACGAAGACCTCAAAGGGGTCTAACTAATCACTTGCAGACTTTACAGACAGAGTCTTTCCAAACTGCTCTATGAAGAGAAAGGTGAAACTCTGTGAACTGAACGCACAGATGACAAAGCAGTTTCTGAGAATGATTCTGTGTAGTTTTTACACGAAGATATTTCCATTTCAAAGATTAGCCTCAAATCGCTTGAAATCTCCACTTGCAAACTCCACAGAAAGAATTTTTCAAAACTGCTCTGTCTAAAGGAAGGTTCAACTCTGTGACTTGAATACACACAACACAAAGAAGTGACTGAGAATTCTTCTGTCTAGCATTATATGAGGAAATCCCGTTTCCAACGAAGGGCTCATAGAGGGACAATTATCCACCTGCAGAATTACAAAGAGTGCATTTCCAAACTGCTCGATTAAAGAAAGGTTAAACTCTGTGAGTTGAACACACACATCACAAAGTGTTTTCTGAGAATGATTTTGTCTAGTTTTAATACGAAGATATATCCTTTTCTATCACTGTCTTCGAAGCGTTTGAAATCTGCACTAGCAAATTCCACAAACAGAGTGTTTCAACTCTGCTCTCTCTCAAGAAAGGTTCAACTCTGTGAGTTGAATACACACAACACAAAGAAGTTACTGAGAATTCTTCTGTCTAGCGTTATATGAAGAAATCCCGTTTCCAACGAAGGCCTCAAAGAGGTCCAAATATCCACTTGCAGACTTTACAAATAGAGTGTTTCCAAACTGCTCTATGAAAAGAAAGGTTAAACTCCGTGAGTTGAAGGCACACATCACAAACTAGTTTCTGCGAATGACTCTGTGTACTTTTAATACGAAGATGTTTCCATGTCTAAGATTGGCGTGAATTCGCTTGAAATCTCCACTTGCAAATTCCACAAAAAGAGTGTTTCAAAACTGCTCTGAATACAGGAAGGTTCCACTCTGTGAGTTGAATACACACAACACAAAGGATTTACTGAGAATTCTTCTGTCTAGCAGTAAATGAAAAAATCCCGCTTCCAACGAAGTCCTCAAAGGGGTCCAAGTAATCACTTGCAGACTTTACAGACAGAGTCTTTCCAAACTGCTCTATGAAAAGAAAGGTGGAACTCTGTGAGCTGAACGCACACATAACAAAGAAGTTTCTGAGAATGATTTCTGTGTAGTTTTTACACGAAGCTATTTCCATTTCAAAGATTAGCCTCAAATCGCTTGAAATCTCCACTTGCAAATTCCACAGAAAGAGTTTTTCAAAACTGCTCTGTGTAAAGGATGGTTCAACTCTGTGACTTGAATACACACAACACAAAGAAGTGACTGAGAATTCTTCTGTCTAGCATTACATGAAGAAATCCCGTTTCCAACGAAGGCCTCAAAGAAGTCCAAATAAGCACCTGCAGACTTTACAAACAGAGTGTTTCCAAACTGCTCTATGAAAAGAAAGGTTAAACTCTGTGAGTTGAACGCACACATCACAAAGTAGTTGTTGAGAATGATTCTGTGTAGTTTTTATACGAAGATATTTCCTTTTCTGCCATAGGCCTAGAAGCGCTTGTAATCTGCACTTGCAAATTCCAAAAACAGAGTGTTTCAAATCTGCTCTCTCTAAAGGAAGGTTCAAATCTGTGAGTTGAATACAAACAACACAAAGAAGTTACTGAGAATTCTTCTGTCTAGCATTATAAGAGGAAATCCTGTTTCCAACGAAGGGCTCATAGAGGGACAATTATCCAGCTGCAGACTTACAAAGAGTGTATTTCCAAACTGCTCGATTAAAGAAAGGTTAAACTCTGTGAGTTGAACACACACATCACAAAGTGTTTTCTGAGAATGATTTTGTCTAGTTTTAATACGAAGATATATCCTTTTCTATCACTGTCTTCGAAGCGTTTGAAATCTGCACTAGCAAATTCCACAGAAAGAGTGTTTCAACTCTGCTCTCTCTCAAGAAAGGTTCAACTCTGTGAGTGGAATACACACAACACAAAGAAGTTACTGAGAATTCTTCTGTCTAGCGTTATATGAAGAAATCCCGTTTCCAACGAAGGCCTCAAAGAGGTCCAAATATCCACTTGCAGACTTTACAAATAGAGTGTTTCCAAACTGCTCTATGAAAAGAAAGGTTAAACTCCGTGAGTTGAAGGCACACATCACAAACTAGTTTCTGCGAATGACTCTGTGTACTTTTAATACGAAGATGTTTCCATGTCTAAGATTGGCGTGAATTCGCTTGAAATCTCCACTTGCAAATTCCACAAAAAGAGTGTTTCAAAACTGCTCTGAATAAAGGAAGGTTCCACTCTGTGAGTTGAATACACACAACACAAAGGATTTACTGAGAATTCTTCTGTCTAGCAGTAAATGAAAAAATCCCGCTTCCAACGAAGTCCTCAAAGGGGTCCAAGTATTCACTTGCAGACTTTACAGACAGAGTCTTTCCAAACTGCTCTATGAAAAGAAAGGTGGAACTCTGTGAGCTGAACGCACACATAACAAAGCAGTTTCTGAGAATGATTCTGTGTAGTTTTTACACGAAGCTATTTCCATTTCAAAGATTAGCCTCAAATCGCTTGAAATCTCCACTTGCAAATTCCACAGAAAGAGTTTTTCAAAACTGCTCTGTGTAAAGGAAGGTTCAACTCTGTGACTTGAATACACACAACACAAAGAAGTGACTGAGAATTCTTCTGTCTAGCATTATATGAAGAAATCCCGTTTCCAATGAAGGCCTCAAAGAAGTCCAAATAAGCACCTGCAGACTTTACAAACAGAGTGTTTCCAAACTGCTCTATGAAAAGAAAGGTTAAACTCTGTGAGTTGAACGCACACATCACAAACTAGTTTCTGCGAATGACTCTGTGTACTTTTAATACGAAGATGTTTCCATGTCTAAGATTGGCGTGAATTCGCTTGAAATCTCCACTTGCAAATTCCACAAAAAGAGTGTTTCAAAACTGCTCTGAATAAAGGAAGGTTCCACTCTGTGAGTTGAATACACACAACACAAAGGATTTACTGAGAATTCTTCTGTCTAGCAGTAAATGAAAAAATCCCGCTTCCAACGAAGTCCTCAAAGGGGTCCAAGTAATCACTTGCAGACTTTACAGACAGAGTCTTTCCAAACTGCTCTATGAAAAGAAAGGTGGAACTCTGTGAGCTGAACGCACACATAACAAAGCAGTTTCTGAGAATGATTCTGTGTAGTTTTTACACGAAGCTATTTCCATTTCAAAGATTAGCCTCAAATCGCTTGAAATCTCCACTTGCAAATTCCACAGAAAGAGTTTTTCAAAACTGCTCTGTGTAAAGGAAGGTTCAACTCTGTGACTTGAATACACACAACACAAAGAAGTTACTGAGAATTCTTCTGTCTAGCGTTATATGAAGAAATCCCGTTTCCAACGAAGGCCTCAAAGAGGTCCAAATATCCACTTGCAGACTTTACAAATAGAGTGTTTCCAAACTGCTCTATGAAAAGAAAGGTTAAACTCCGTGAGTTGAAGGCACACATCACAAACTAGTTTCTGCGAATGACTCTGTGTACTTTTAATACGAAGATGTTTCCATGTCTAAGATTGGCGTGAATTCGCTTGAAATCTCCACTTGCAAATTCCACAAAAAGAGTGTTTCAAAACTGCTCTGAATAAAGGAAGGTTCCACTCTGTGAGTTGAATACACACAACACAAAGGATTTACTGAGAATTCTTCTGTCTAGCAGTAAATGAAAAAATCCCGCTTCCAACGAAGTCCTCAAAGGGGTCCAAGTAATCACTTGCAGACTTTACAGACAGAGTCTTTCCAAACTGCTCTATGAAAAGAAAGGTGGAACTCTGTGAGCTGAACGCACACATAACAAAGCAGTTTCTGAGAATGATTCTGTGTAGTTTTTACACGAAGCTATTTCCATTTCAAAGATTAGCCTCAAATCGCTTGAAATCTCCACTTGCAAATTCCACAGAAAGAGTTTTTCAAAACTGCTCTGTGTAAAGGAAGGTTCAACTCTGTGACTTGAATACACACAACACAAAGAAGTGACTGAGAATTCTTCTGTCTAGCATTATATGAAGAAATCCCGTTTCCAACGAAGGCCTCAAAGAAGTCCAAATAAGCACCTGCAGACTTTACAAACAGAGTGTTTCCAAACTGCTCTATGAAAAGAAAGGTTAAACTCTGTGAGTTGAACGCACACATCACAAAGTAGTTGTCGAGAATGATTCTGTGTAGTTTTTATACGAAGATATTTCCTTTTCTGCCATAGGCCTAGAAGCGCTTGTGATCTGCACTTGCAAATTCCAAAAACAGAGTGTTACAAATCTGCTCTCTCTAAAGGAAGGTTCAATCTGTAAGTTAAATACAAACAACACAAAGAAGTTACTGAGAATTCTTCTGTCTAGCATTATAAGAGGAAATCCCGTTTCCAACGAAGGGCTCATAGAGGGACAATTATCCAGCTGCAGACTTACAAAGAGTGTATTTCCAAACTGCTCGATTAAAGAAAGGTTAAACTCTGTGAGTTGAACACACACATCACAAAGTGTTTTCTGAGAATGATTTTGTCTAGTTTTAATACGAAGATATATCCTTTTCTATCACTGTCTTCGAAGCGTTTGAAATCTGCACTAGCAAATTCCACAAACAGAGTGTTTCAACTCTGCTCTCTCTCAAGAAAGGTTCAACTCTGTGAGTTGAATACACACAACACAAAGAAGTTACTGAGAATTCTTCTGTCTAGCGTTATAAGAAGAAATCCCGTTTCCAACGAAGGCCTCAAAGAGGTCCAAATATCCACTTGCAGACTTTACAAATAGAGTGTTTCCAAACTGCTCTATGAAAAGAAAGGTTAAACTCTGTGAGTTGAAGGCACACATCACAAACTAGTTTCTGCGAATGACTCTGTGTACTTTTAATACGAAGATGTTTCCATGTCTAAGATTGGCGTGAATTCGCTTGAAATCTCCACTTGCAAATTCCACAAAAAGAGTGTTTCAAAACTGCTCTGAATAAAGGAAGGTTCCACTCTGTGAGTTGAATACACACAACACAAAGGATTTACTGAGAATTCTTCTGTCTAGCAGTAAATGAAAAAATCCCGCTTCCAACGAAGTCCTCAAAGGGGTCCAAGTAATCACTTGCAGACTTTACAGACAGAGTCTTTCCAAACTGCTCTATGAAAAGAAAGGTGGAACTCTGTGAGCTGAACGCACACATAACAAAGCAGTTTCTGAGAATGATTCTGTGTAGTTTTTACACGAAGCTATTTCCATTTCAAAGATTAGCCTCAAATCGCTTGAAATCTCCACTTGCAAATTCCACAGAAAGAGTTTTTCAAAACTGCTCTGTGTAAAGGAAGGTTCAACTCTGTGACTTGAATACACACAACACAAAGAAGTGACTGAGAATTCTTCTGTCTAGCATTATATGAAGAAATCCCGTTTCCAACGAAGGCCTCAAAGAAGTCCAAATAAGCACCTGCAGACTTTACAAACAGAGTGTTTCCAAACTGCTCTATGAAAAGAAAGGTTAAACTCTGTGAGTTGAACGCACACATCACAAACTAGTTTCTGCGAATGACTCTGTGTACTTTTAATACGAAGATGTTTCCATGTCTAAGATTGGCGTGAATTCGCTTGAAATCTCCACTTGCAAATTCCACAAAAACAGTGTTTCAAAACTGCTCTGAATAAAGGAAGGTTCCACTCTGTGAGTTGAATACACACAACACAAAGGATTTACTGAGAATTCTTCTGTCTAGCAGTAAATGAAAAAATCCCGCTTCCAACGAAGTCCTCAAAGGGGTCCAAGTAATCACTTGCAGACTTTACAGACAGAGTCTTTCCAAACTGCTCTATGAAAAGAAAGGTGGAACTCTGTGAGCTGAACGCACACATAACAAAGCAGTTTCTGAGAATGATTCTGTGTAGTTTTTACACGAAGATATTTCCATTTCAAAGATTAGCCTCAAATCGCTTGAAATCTCCACTTGCAAATTCCACAGAAAGAGTTTTTCAAAACTGCTCTGTGTAAAGGAAGGTTCAACTCTGTGACTTGAATACACACAACACAAAGAAGTGACTGAGAATTCTTCTGTCTAGCATTATATGAAGAAATCCCGTTTCCAACGAAGGCCTCAAAGAAGTCCAAATAAGCACCTGCAGACTTTACAAACAGAGTGTTTCCAAACTGCTCTATGAAAAGAAAGGTTAAACTCTGTGAGTTGAACGCACACATCACAAAGTAGTTGTTGAGAATGATTCTGTGTAGTTTTTATACGAAGATATTTCCTTTTCTGCCATAGGCCTAGAAGCGCTTGCAATCTGCACTTGCAAATTCCAAAAACAGAGTGTTTCAAATCTGCTCTCTCCAAAGGAAGGTTCAAATCTGTGAGTTGAATACAAACAACACAAAGAAGTTACTGAGAATTCTTCTGTCTAGCATTATATGAGGAAATCCCGTTTCCAACGAAGGGCTCATAGAGGGACAATTATCCAGCTGCAGACTTACAAAGAGTGTATTTCCAAACTGCTCGATTAAAGAAAGGTTAAACTCTGTGAGTTGAACACACACATCACAAAGTGTTTTCTGAGAATGATTTTGTCTAGTTTTAATACGAAGATATATCCTTTTCTATCACTGTCTTCGAAGCGTTTGAAATCTGCACTAGCAAATTCCACAAACAGAGTGTTTCAACTCTGCTCTCTCTCAAGAAAGGTTCAACTCTGTGAGTGGAATACACACAACACAAAGAAGTTACTGAGAATTCTTCTGTCTAGCGTTATATGAAAAAATCCCGTTTCCAACGAAGGCCTCAAAGAGGTCCAAATATCCACTTGCAGACTTTACAAATAGAGTGTTTCCAAACTGCTCTATGAAAAGAAAGGTTAAACTCCGTGAGTTGAAGGCACACATCACAAACTAGTTTCTGCGAATGACTCTGTGTACTTTTAATACGAAGATGTTTCCATGTCTAAGATTGGCGTGAATTCGCTTGAAATCTCCACTTGCAATTTCCACAAAAAGAGTGTTTCAAAACTGCTCTGAATAAAGGAAGGTTCCACTCTGTGAGTTGAATACACACAACACAAAGGATTTACTGAGAATTCTTCTGTCTAGCAGTAAATGAAAAAATCCCGCTTCCAACGAAGTCCTCAAAGGGGTCCAAGTAATCACTTGCAGACTTTACAGACAGAGTCTTTCCAAACTGCTCTATGAAAAGAAAGGTGGAACTCTGTGAGCTGAACGCACACATAACAAAGCAGTTTCTGAGAATGATTCTGTGTAGTTTTTACACGAAGCTATTTCCATTTCAAAGATTAGCCTCAAATCGCTTGAAATCTCCACTTGCAAATTCCACAGAAAGAGTTTTTCAAAACTGCTCTGTGTAAAGGAAGGTTCAACTCTGTGACTTGAATACACGCAACACAAAGAAGTGACTGAGAATTCTTCTGTCTAGCATTATATGAAGAAATCCCGTTTCCAACGAAGGCCTCAAAGAAGTCCAAATAAGCACCTGCAGACTTTACAAACAGAGTGTTTCCAAACTGCTCTATGAAAAGAAAGGTTAAACTCTGTGAGTTGAACGCACACATCACAAAGTAGTTGTTGAGAATGATTCTGTGTAGTTTTTATACGAAGATATTTCCTTTTCTGCCATAGGCCTAGAAGCGCTTGTAATCTGCACTTGCAAATTCCAAAAACAGAGTGTTTCAAATCTGCTCTCTCTAAAGGAAGGTTCAAATCTGTGAGTTGAATACAAACAACACAAAGAAGTTACTGAGAATTCTTCTGTCTAGCATTATAAGAGGAAATCCCGTTTCCAACGAAGGGCTCATAGAGGGACAATTATCCAGCTGCAGACTTACAAAGAGTGTATTTCCAAACTGCTCGATTAAAGAAAGGTTAAACTCTGTGAGTTGAACACACACATCACAAAGTGTTTTCTGAGAATGATTTTGTCTAGTTTTAATACGAAGATATATCCTTTTCTATCACTGTCTTCGAAGCGTTTGAAATCTGCACTAGCAAATTCCACAGAAAGAGTGTTTCAACTCTGCTCTCTCTCAAGAAAGGTTCAACTCTGTGAGTTGAATACACACAACACAAAGAAGTTACTGAGAATTCTTCTGTCTAGCGTTATATGAAGAAATCCCGTTTCCAACGAAGGCCTCAAAGAGGTCCAAATATCCACTTGCAGACTTTACAAATAGAGTGTTTCCAAACTGCTCTATGAAAAGAAAGGTTAAACTCCGTGAGTTGAAGGCACACATCACAAACTAGTTTCTGCGAATGACTCTGTGTACTTTTAATACGAAGATGTTTCCATGTCTAAGATTGGCGTGAATTCGCTTGAAATCTCCACTTGCAAATTCCACAAAAAGAGTGTTTCAAAACTGCTCTGAATAAAGGAAGGTTCCACTCTGTGAGTTGAATACACACAACACAAAGGATTTACTGAGAATTCTTCTGTCTAGCAGTAAATGAAAAAATCCCGCTTCCAACGAAGTCCTCAAAGGGGTCCAAGTAATCACTTGCAGACTTTACAGACAGAGTCTTTCCAAACTGCTCTATGAAAAGAAAGGTGGAACTCTGTGAGCTGAACGCACACATAACAAAGCAGTTTCTGAGAATGATTCTGTGTAGTTTTTACACGAAGCTATTTCCATTTCAAAGATTAGCCTCAAATCGCTTGAAATCTCCACTTGCAAATTCCACAGAAAGAGTTTTTCAAAACTGCTCTGTGTAAAGGAAGGTTCAACTCTGTGACTTGAATACACACAACACAAAGAAGTGACAGAGAATTCTTCTGTCTAGCATTATATGAAGAAATCCCGTATCCAACGAAGGCCTCAAAGAAGTCCAAATAAGCACCTGCAGACTTTACAAACAGAGTGTTTCCAAACTGCTCTATGAAAAGAAAGGTTAAACTCTGTGAGTTGAACGCACACATCACAAACTAGTTTCTGCGAATGACTCTGTGTACTTTTAATACGAAGATGTTTCCATGTCTAAGATTGGCGTGAATTCGCTTGAAATCTCCACTTGCAAATTCCACAAAAAGAGTGTTTCAAAACTGCTCTGAATAAAGGAAGGTTCCACTCTGTGAGTTGAATACACACAACACAAAGGATTTACTGAGAATTCTTCTGTCTAGCAGTAAATGAAAAAATCCCGCTTCCAACGAAGTCCTCAAAGGGGTCCAAGTAATCACTTGCAGACTTTACAGACAGAGTCTTTCCAAACTGCTCTATGAAAAGAAAGGTGGAACTCTGTGAGCTGAACGCACACATAACAAAGCAGTTTCTGAGAATGATTCTGTGTAGTTTTTACACGAAGCTATTTCCATTCCAAAGATTAGCCTCAAATCGCTTGAAATCTCCACTTGCAAATTCCACAGAAAGAGTTTTTCAAAACTGCTCTGTGTAAAGGAAGGTTCAACTCTGTGACTTGAATACACACAACACAAAGAAGTGACTGAGAATTCTTCTGTCTAGCATTACATGAAGAAATCCCGTTTCCAACGAAGGCCTCAAAGAAGTCCAAATAAGCACCTGCAGACTTTACAAACAGAGTGTTTCCAAACTGCTCTATGAAAAGAAAGGTTAAACTCTGTGAGTTGAACGCACACATCACAAAGTAGTTGTTGAGAATGATTCTGTGTAGTTTTTATACGAAGATATTTCCTTTTCTGCCACAGGCCTAGAAGCGCTTGTAATCTGCACTTGCAAATTCCAAAAACAGAGTGTTTCAAATCTGCTCTCTCTAAAGGAAGGTTCAAATCTGTGAGTTGAATACAAACAACACAAAGAAGTTACTGAGAATTCTTCTGTCTAGCATTATAAGAGGAAATCCTGTTTCCAACGAAGGGCTCATAGAGGGACAATTATCCAGCTGCAGACTTACAAAGAGTGTATTTCCAAACTGCTCGATTAAAGAAAGGTTAAACTCTGTGAGTTGAACACACACATCACAAAGTGTTTTCTGAGAATGATTTTGTCTAGTTTTAATACGAAGATATATCCTTTTCTATCACTGTCTTCGAAGCGTTTGAAATCTGCACTAGCAAATTCCACAAACAGAGTGTTTCAACTCTGCTCTCTCTCAAGAAAGGTTCAACTCTGTGAGTTGAATACACACAACACAAAGAAGTTACTGAGAATTCTTCTGTCTAGCGTTATATGAAGAAATCCCGTTTCCAACGAAGGCCTCAAAGAGGTCCAAATATCCACTTGCAGACTTTACAAATAGAGTGTTTCCAAACTGCTCTATGAAAAGAAAGGTTAAACTCCGTGAGTTGAAGGCACACATCACAAACTAGTTTCTGCAAATGACTCTGTGTACTTTTAATACGAAGATGTTTCCATGTCTAAGATTGGCGTGAATTCGCTTGAAATCTCCACTTGCAAATTCCACAAAAAGAGTGTTTCAAAAGTGCTCTGAATAAAGGAAGGTTCCACTCTGTGAGTTGAATACACACAA